>NC_000007.14:84021930-84324960 GCF_000001405.40 Homo sapiens | reverse complement strand
AGGTCTTTGACGGATGGAGTGGATTGCATCTACCGAATTATAGTGTTTTCTACAATGCCACACATGCCTTATACATTTTATCAATCAATAAGTATTTGTTGAATGTTGAAAGAATGAAGTTATTTTTATGATTAATGATTATACTGTAGTCTGGTCTTTTTTTTCCATTTTCACCTATATATTGTAGTCTATTCAGCTAAGCATATTTTGGTATGTATTTTTCACAAGACTAGAAAATGATTTTTAAGACCATGTGCTTCATAATAAATTGAAGTCTCTTTGAAAAATAAATTCAGAAATTATTTTGAATTTTCTTGTTAAAGTTAAAAAAATTACATATTTTGTTATCTAGAGTTCTAGTTTAATAAAATATGATTGCCAATGTATATATAATTACCATTTTGCTATCTATCAGCCAAAACAGCATTTGTTTTGTTTCAGCCATATGTTCTTTTCTTTTTGCTTTATGACAATCTTGTTTTTGTTCATTCACTGGAGCTGGCAGATAACTATGAGATGGAATTCCAAAGCCAATTCAGCATTAACTTTATATCCATGACCAGTGTCAAATCTGGACTCTATCTAATAGAAATGTTGAGTAATCTCATGTTAATCTTCTCTGTGTAACAGTTCTGACTTGCACTAATGAACAAGATTTGAATGGAAGCTCCAATAGGTTACTCTGGTCCTATAGAGTTTGCTTTTGAAGGAAACCATCCTATGGATTTATCCCACCCACCTAAGTCAGGCTGCTGTAGCTCAACAATATTTGAAAGGTCTTCACACACACTGTAATTTTTTAAAATCCTTGACTTTGTGCCAAAAATTTAAATTGGCTCTGCCATCACACTGATAAACACTAGTTCTTCAGATAATTTTATTTATTTACACGTTTTGACATTGTGTTGATTTACCATTTATTTTAACAGCTAGGAAAGGTAATACATAATTACAAACTTTCAAACACTTTATTGTAAACCACATTTAAAAACTAAAATATGCTACTCTCTAGAAGAGAATAAACAGATTTATATATGATTTTAAAGTCACAAAGAAAGATGTTTGATGTAAATATTTCTATTGTGCAGATGTACTACAGCAAAGAAAAATTCATGGGATATTACTGTCTGTTATAATATCAGAAAATTAAATTCTAAATTAAAAAATAAAATTCTTAGCCTGTGTTGCATAAACCTTGAATGATGGTAATCAACCATGATGCATGACTAAGGCGCACATCTGTCCATATGATTTATGACAGAATATAATCAGAGAATAAGCTTTCCATTTTTAAAGAACTATAGTTCATTGTAAGAAGGGGTCATATTTAGCATGGAAGCATTTTTTTTTAATTTTATACTATTTTTTCAGAGTTTTCCCTATGTTTCCACTCAAAATTTACTCGTTTTCACTCTTTGTACATTGCAAGTACCCCCTTGTGAACTTCCACTCAGGAAATGACATGATTTCTCTTCATCAGAGAAGTGTTTTCTTTATAAGAAAGGAATTGTACTTACGTTCTGCTTTAGCTGAAGGCGGTCTGTCTGTCATATGTGGCACACTTGATTATGTAGTGATTAGTGACAAAAAACATGTAGATTAAGAGCTTTGCTAACATGAATATTAGCAAACTTTAGCAACCCTACCACAGTGAATTGCATCTTTTGAAGAGGAAATCAAGTACTCTTGAGTATTGATACTTTTGATTGACATAAATATTACACTATAGAACAAAACGCACAATTAGTTTAATTAAAGTCAATCTATTGATAGCTAATCTTCAGAGAACGTTAAAGAAAGCATTGTTGTTAATACTTATGGAGCATTTATTATGCATTTAATCATAGTATTTGATCATGTTCATTTAAATAGTGATTTAATCTTCATTATACACTGACAAAGGGTATACTATTATTTTCCTCACTTTACAGGTTAAAAAATGAAGGCCACAGTTGTGGTTGTTTGCCAAATTTTGTCCAGTGAATGCAGTGGTAGAATCAAGTTTCCAATCTAGGCAGTGTGGCTCTACTGAATACACACATACCTGCCATGCTATTCTCCCTCAGTATTAGAAATGGAAGCCCCTCTTCTCAAATGCAAAGTCCTTCAGGAAGCCTGTATGGACTTTAAACATGACTGATGTGATTTCACATTTTTTAAATCCTCAAATACTATTTTTGTATCTTTCTAAAAAGTTATGTTTTCTTTAAAATGATTGTATTAGTCTGTTCTCACGCTGCTAATGAAGACACACCTGAGACTTATAATTTATAAAGGAAGGAAGTTTAAATGACTTGCAGTTCCACATGGCTGGGGAGGCCTCACAATCATGGCAGAAGATGAAGGAAGAGCAAAGGGACATCTTACATGGCAGCAGGCAAGAGAGAGAGCTTGTGCAGAGAACTCCCATTTACAAAGCCATCAGATCTTGTGAAACTTATTCACTACTACCAGAGAACAGCATAGGGGAAACTGCCCCCATGATTCAATTATCTCCACCTGGCCCTGCCCTTGACACATGGGGATTATTACAATTCAAGGTGAGATTTGGTTGGGGACATAGCCAAGCCATATCCATAATTAAAATATGAATGATGATAACAGTGAGAAAATAAGTGTATTTTATTGTAGGATGCTTGTGACAGACATTTGTTCTACAAGTATTAATTCATTTAATTCTCACAACACTATGGAGTAAGTAGTATGATATGGTTTGGCTCTGTGTCCCCACCCAAATCTCACTTTGAATTGTAACTCTCATAATCTCCATGTGTCAAGGGCAGAACCTGGTGGGAGGTAATGGAATCATGGGGGGAGTTTCCCCCATGCTGTTCTCATGATGGTGAGTGAGTTCTCATGAGATCTGATGGTTTTGTAAGTGTTTGACATTTCCCCTACTTGCATTCATTCTCCATCCTGCCACCCTGTGATGAGGTGATTTCCACCATGATAAGTTTTCCGAGTCCTCCCCAGCCATGCGGAACTGTGAGTCTGTGAGTCAATTAAACCTCTTTTCTTTATAAATTATGCAGTCTCAGGTATTTCCTCCTTCTTCTTCTTCTTTTTTTTTTTTTTTTTTTTTTTTTTTCCGTAGTCTCGCTCTGTCGGCCAGGCTGGAGTGCAGTGGCACTATCTTGGCTCACTGCAACCCCTGCCTCCCCGGTTCACACGATTCACCTGCCTCAGCCTATCAAGTAGCTGAGACTAGAGGCGTGCGCCACCACGCCCGGCTAATTTTTTGTATTTTTAGTAGAGACGGGATTTCACTGTGTTAGCCAGGATGGTTTCGATCTCCTGACCCCATGATCTGCCTGCTTTGGCCTCCCAAAGTGCTGTGATGACAGGCGTGAGCCACTGGTATTTCTTCATAGCAATATGAAAATGGACTAGTACCTAGTATTGCTATGTATTAGTATCATTTTACATACAATTAAACTTAAGGTCACATAACTGGTTAGTTGCAGAGCAATTATATCAACCCAGGCAGTCTGGTCTTAGATCATGTGTATTTTACTTTCTTATGCTTATTGCTGATTTTACTGTGCAGAGAGATTGTGTTATATTGAGTCTCTGTTGCACTTTCATAAACTAGTATCCTAACATTTTAATTTTAGTGATAATTATAGTTCATTTTGTTTCACAAATCATGTAAATGTAACTTGGAAAAACATACAATAAAGAGCAATTTTCATGAATAAATATTTGTTGAGTTAAATCTGTAATGATACAGTTAGAGTTAACCAAAAGAGAACTAATGATTATGACATGGGATTAGAATTATCAACTGGATTTAGGTTTACAATCTATGTGTTCTCCTCCATACATTGTGTCCAAATCACTTGATTTTTTCGAGGTAAACTAAAATTTCGAAAACTGTGATTGTAATCAAACTTGTTATTATCAAATAAGAACTCTTTCCTAAAGTCAACAAGAAAGAATGAAATTCAGCTAAATACATATTGGACTAATATGAGGTAATTCACCAATATTGATGGCCAGTATATATTTAACACACCAGTGAGTCAAACATTTCTATATACCTCATCATTTCATCTTAACAATAATTTTACATGAAAATCACAATGATACTCATTTTACTAAAGAAAGAAGGAAGGCACAGAGAGATTAGACAACCTGCACTAGTGTAACACAGCAAGTAATTTGGAGAAATTTCATGTGATTTCAAATCTCCTGCTCTCTCACTACATCATGACAATCCCACATTGTATAATAATTGCAATTCAACAATTGTACATAGTTTATATTTTTACTGTGAAATAAACCCATGTGCAGAAAAAAAAAATAATTTATTTCTCAAGTACACTAAAACTTCCCTTCTGTGAACAAAATGACCTAACAAAGATACCTTAAACTGTTCGTTTATTTTGCAAATGAAATTGTATTTCACTTTTACTTTTTATAAATAATTTTACATTTCCAACTACATGCATTCAATAATATTATTAGTTGATGCTAGCAATATAAAGTATATGATTAGGCTAGCATAGGAAACAACTACTTAGATTTTTTTAATAAACTTTTAGAAATTCTTTGGAGGAATTCCTGCTGAAACTTAACTTTTTCATTGTACTGGAAGAAACATATTATTTTAACTATATCCTAACAGAGTAAGCAAAAAGCCTATACATAGATTATTAATTTAAGATGGACAAAAAAGGTAATAAATTATAATACCCAGAGACAAAAAATTATTTTCTTATGGAAGGAAGGAGATTATAATATATATACCCTGTAAGGTATTATTAAGACTAACCATATTAAATTTATTACCAAATTATCTTGATGTGTGGTCAAGGGAATCAGTGCTTCCATTATCATAATCATAGTGTGGGCCCAGAAAATAAGAAACAGAAGTGTGACAGTGTCAGATATGGTAACAGAGAAGTGATTCAACTGAAGTCCTTGCTATCAGTTGGGCTCCTACTTTGGGTTTAGCAAAAAGAAATCATTTACTTTCTTGTCTTTGGCAGTGTAGTGAATTAATTCTCTGAACCACTTCTTAGAATGGTGATTTTTAAATGCGTAATATAAAATATATAGTGTTAACAAGGAAAATCCATTATATTGTGAAAATTATAAAAATATTGAAAAACACAAATTTGTGATTTAGCAATACATGTGCTTTTCATTTAAATCGTTAAATAAGAGGATCTAGTGAAAGACCTGTTAATAACACAACTTTTTAAAAGTTATGAGTATAAATGAGATTTTAAGATTTACAAAAGAAGTATATTGTGATATGAAAATATCTGCAATATATTTTGGTGATAATGTCACAGATATTGCTAATACCACTGTGGTTTGTTATCTATTTTTATAAATGAAGGAAATGCCAATCTTTAGTTAAATGTTATTTAAGAAAATTTCCAATGCAAGTTCATCTAGCAGGTGAATTTTACATGGAATTCTTGGTGGTCTGTGAATCTCCTGGCTAATAAGCCTTGGGATTCTTAGTAACTTTTACTGATGAAGTTAAGGAAATTATTATGCCACTGAAGTAAATCCTGGATATAATCTACCTCTTTACCCCCTTCCCCCTTCCTGTTTGGTGCACCAGACTTACTCAACAAAAATGCATTTGCATTTTTTACAAAAATTGCCCTTTCTTAGAGCCTAGCACCAATGAGCTGAGCACTCTGGTCTATTGACTCTTCCAGCTTTCCTTTTCCCTCTAAATATTCCTGATCACATTGATGCAAAGGCCACAGAACCTCCTAATTAAGATCTGAATCTTTTCAATCAGGTCGAATAATTTTCTAATATTGTCACTGGTTATCCAAATTCATTGAGCTTTCTCTCCCTCCATTTTCTTACCTGTACAGTGAATTTAAAATAACAAACTCACTGAAATGTTTTAAGTATTAAAATAACCAATAGGTATTAGGCATTTTGAACAGTCCTTGAATTATAATAAATGTCCAGTAATAGTAGCTGCTGTTATTCTTACCTCTGCGCCTTGGTGCCTGATACATGACAAATTGCTAAACTAATCAACATCTATGTAGTATATTAGGAGACAATAAGTCCCTTGAAATTAAGGTTACTGTTTCATTGGCCTTGTTTATTTGCATTATCTGGTGACTTTATATCATTTGTGATAGCCATTTACATAAATACATTGAGCAATGCATTCCCAAGATGATACCTAAATGTATAATCTGGGTATGATGGGATTGCATATTATCACCCAAGTCACAAGATAAGAGTGGCTGTTGAAAAATATTATTGAGCAATATAAGTGTACAGGAAAGGCTTTTTATGCCCACTGATCCATCAGCTCTGTTCTATCAATCTCATTGAGTATAAAACCAAGAAATCGGCCGGGCGCGATGGCTCACGCCTGTAATCCCAGCACTTTGGGAGGCCGAGGCGGGCAGATCACGAGGTCAGGAGATCGAGACCATCCCGGCTAAAACGGTGAAACCCCGTCTCTACTAAAAATACAAAAAATTAGCCGGGCGTAGTGGCGGGCGCCTGTAGTCCCAGCTACTTGGGAGGCTGAGGCAGGAGAATGGCGTGAACCCGGGAGGCGGAGCTTGCAGTGAGCCGAGATCCCGCCACTGCACTCCATCCTGGGCGACAGAGCGAGACTCCGTCTCAAAAAAAAAAAAAAAAAAAAAAACCAAGAAATCATTTATTCACACAAGTTGCAAATACAGAACGTTTAATGGTTTCCTTATTTAAACTGTGTTTCAAAATTATCATCACAAATCATCACTATTAACAGTTGGTGATTATCAATTTGGTATTAACATGTAATAGCTAAAGAAATCATGGTACTAAATATAAAAATGTATATTTTTATTTTTAAGTGCATGTTTTTCTTTTATTTTAAATGTTAAAAAAGAGCAATATTGTACTAACTGCCTAAGAATTTGTTATTGTTTATTCATTTTAATGGATAAAAAATGGAGGCCTGGATATGACCTAAAAACATTTTATGGACAACTCTTTTTGTTTGTTTCTTTTGCTTATTTTATTATTCATGCTATTTTTATGGCATAACAATACACCAGTTGTCTCTAGATAAATTGAATTTTAAGAAACAAATATACCTTAAATCATATTTTTTTCAAAGCTTACCCAGAAATCAGATATTTTTAATACTGTTTTGCATTTTCAAGACTTCCTAAAGTAGTTTCATTTTCATGGAGTTTTTCCTAAGAAATGCTGTCCACCAGAGAACAGTTATTTCAGTTAAATAATTTATTGGCAACTCAACAACCACAATAGCTGATGAAATATGTTGAGACAAGGAATAGTCAAGTATGGTGAATGTGAAATAAACCACAAATTTTAGAATAAGAAAAGCAGATGCCTGGAAAAATGAAGAATAATATCAATAAAATCATGTTATATTTGTTTTTAATATTTTAAGCTGAGAAATAGTGATATTTAGGTAAGAAAAGATTTTGTAAAAATATAAGTTAAAATATAAAAAGAAGGAAGCTATCTTATGATAAAGCTCTATTCCACACACATATAAAAAGCCTTAGACTTACTTCAACACCTAGATAGGGTGATGGACAGAAATAAATGAATTTTGATAGAGTATGCTGTCACTGATACATAGCATCATGTGTGACTATCATATAGTCCATATTTTATTCTCTACACACAGTACTTTTATCTGTAGAAAATCAGAGAGTGAAACAGAAAATAAAATGTAGGAGAAAAAGTAAAGGAGTGTTCTCAGTTTTACTGTACTAACAATCACCATTAGTGACCCAGTTTTGTTTTATATTTTTCCCTTCCAAGGAAAGAATCTGTATACTCCCATAAGTTTTGTATAAAAGTCCCTCAAGGCTACATTGTGACTATGCTTCTTTGGGACAAATTTAGCCTGAGGGATAGAAAGAGTTTTTAGGGTCCATAAGCCAAATCTCACGTTAATATGGAGAAGTGCCCTATTATGATGATGGGTACCAGCTAATAGTATAATTTCCTAATGTGCGAAAAAAAAAATGTTTTTGCTGTTATCACAAGCTTTGTGCTGGGCGTACTGGTTTATTTGGAGCCTGCTACTTGTGAAAGCTTCACCTTTTCCATTTTTAGAAAATGTGAAGCAGCAAAAAGGTTTTTGACAAACCGCAGATCCTGCAGTTTAATCGGCTTGATTGTGGGCGCCCCGCAACCTCTCCTTGTCCTTTATTTTCTTGGACCACTAACAGTTTTGGAAAAAAAAATCTGCTTCTGGATTATAGCTTTAAAATAAAGTAATAGAATGTGATTATGGAAGATAAAAAAATCCACTTTATAAAAATATCATCAAGTAACAGGAGAGAAGATTCACAGGAGCTCTTAAATGGTAAATCTCTCTTTCTCTTTCTATCTCTATCTACTCTCTTAATGCTTCCAAGCATAATTTTAATATATAGACTTATAGCACCTCTTTTATCTTGTTAATGGTGGACTTCATAGGGTGGTAATATACTATGTATGATCCAAAAACTAAGGAGTTTTTTGTATATTTGTAAGTGAATTTTTACTTTGTGTACATTTGTTCTGTGCATTGTGAAATAACTCTTTTTTTTTCATTTTAAGGATTTTAAAGTATCGTTACTTGAAAATATTAACTAATTTATTTCCAAGTAACTCTTTATATTGGTGCTTACTTTGGATTTAATTTGGTTACAATAATTATACTGCAACTTAAAAATTATACATAATAAATTAACCAGTGGTCTTTCTAATTTGAGAAATTTTATCACAGTTAACTTCTCTCAAATTAAAATGAAAAAAGACGATAAATGAAGTTTAGTTTGAAAACAGGGAGCACTTTTTTTTTTTTTTTTTTTTTTTTTTTTTTGAGATAGAGTCTTCCTATATTGTGCAGGCAGGCCTTCAAGTGAACTTCTGGGCACCAGAAATCCTCCTGCCTCAACTTCGTGAGTAGCTGGGACTACAGATGTGCACCACTGCTCCCATTCTTTTTCTAAATAACAAAAGAGAAAAGAAAATAAAATTAGAGGAAGAAAGACAGAATTTTAAAAAGAAAAAATATATATTAGTAATACAAAAAGTACATAAAATCATAAAATGTGAAAAAGAGTAATCCCTACAATTGTATCCAATACATATATTTAGATTAATAATCAGATTATCGAGTGAATTTGTAGTTAAAATTAAATAGCATCAAAACATCTTAATATAAAACCTAGTTATCACAGTAATCTATTTGAATGTAATTGAAATAAGTTTTTGCATAAAATTTTATGAAGAATTTTTTTGCTGCCCCTCCTCAGAAATTCTTAACCATATGTCTACTGAAACATTTGCTAGATTTAGTTATTTAGGACAAGAATATGTAGTTTATTGCATTTATCAGTTTCATCTTTTTTTTAAGAGAGGATGAAATCTGAGAAAGATTTAAGTCACCAAAGATTTCTTACATAATTAGTTTAGAAAGAGATAAACTATTTGAAGTCTGTTTTTAACCAGAGACCATCTAGATGATTTTTTATTTGTTTCTATACAATGATTATATGACTTAATAATCATACCTGCTATTTTAAAAATAGAGCTCAAAATCCTGCGTATTGTTATTGTGTCGATCATCCAAGAAGAAATACAAAATGTGTAGACTCTTATATATTGTGGTCTTTCCTTCATGGGGTTTGTGCCTGCAGTTGTAGTGTCATTAATGAAACTAAGATTTTCAAGAGTTAAAAAAATCTGGAGGAGAATATTTCATGTCCTCTCCAGCCTAATCGTCTGCTATTTCGTATCATACCTGTTCAGTGATCTGACAAATTTACTGATTACATTTATAATCTTTAAATTTCTACTTGATACAATGTTTAATCTTTTGGAGTTTGATATTGGTAAGGTTAATTACCCTTCTGGAAATGATTGACTTGTTGATCTCATTCCACCAGCTAGAACAGTGAGTAGAAAATTATTCGTAGCAAACCAAAAGCTTCTCCAGATAATATTTTCAGTTAATGTGTTATTTATTCTTCATGATTTTATAGTACTATGTTGGATTTATTATGAGATTAAAACAAATCAAATTACTTTCCTCATTAGTTTTTCATTGTTTTCCTCCCATTTATATTTAAAGAAAACCAGCTTTTACTTGAAAAAATGACTTTCTAATCGAGTCTTAGCTGGCAATTTCCTCAAATTCTTGCTGTATTAAGGCAGACACAGTATAAAATCAATCTTGTCTAAAACAAGCATTGCTTGATTGAGCAAAAGTGACTATTGTCTCTGATATGCTATCTTCTATATGCCTTTTGCATCTGTGCACTTTCTATTGCATAGTTCAGTGAGTCTAGAATAAGTCGTACTATGGTAACAAATGATCTCAACATCTATCTATATAGCTTATTACAACAAAGTTTATATATTGCACACATTATATGTCTATCATGGACAGCTTTGGCTCTGCACCATCATTCTAAAATGAAGAACCAACCCCAATCTGAGACATACTAGTCTTATGGCAGAAAGAAAAGAGCAAGAGCAGAACAATGAGCTGGATCTTAAAGCTTCTGCTCAGATGTGGCACAGGTTACTTGCAGTCATGTCCCATTACACTACATGTCATATGACTAAGTATAAAATCAGTGGTGTGGCAAGTGTAATCCTATTGCACGGATGTCTGTTTGTAATGTTTATGTCTCTGATATTACCAAAGAACTAAATCATTGATTATGACAATCTCTGCCTTAATTAAAATGTTATGTCTTTATCTAATTGCAAAACTAGATAGACTCACTGACTGAATTCTGAGAGGATTTTATAGACATCAGACTATTAAAATGTCTAGGATATAGACCAATTTTAGAATGAATTTGAGAAGCTATCATACACACATAGAAAGGGTAAAAATGTTGAGTATTATATTTGTAAAATGATAATCCATTTTCACTCACCATAAGTCACATTTGGGCATACACTTCAAGACCTTGCTATCATAAACTCATTCAATGAGCACAGTTTTATCTATTACTTTAAGTGTAAAACTGTATATGGTGCCATCCAACTGAAGAAGAAAAAAATACCAGTTTCTTATCAGATAATGTAAAGAATGAAAGCCTATTGTTAAAATGATTAAGACCACAGAGGAGGAAACTAAGTAATTAACTTGATTTATTCCCAAAGAACTATGAGTCAATATTTTTGTTTTCACAGAATTACAAAACAAATAGCTTACGTGAGAGGGCTTATAGAAGTACAATTTTACTCTTCCTATGATTTTAGCTGTTTTACTTTCAAAATTGGATTCTGTCGCTTAGGATGACAACAGAACTTCAGAAAAAAATAAGTATTTAAAATCATCAAGCTGATATTCTCAAAAAGTAATGACAAATACCAATGCATGATGTAATTAGAGTCAAGTGTATAGTGTGATTAAAGAGAAATATTTCATACATAATATTTCAAAGAGAAGAATAATAAAACTATACTGCAAATAATTTTAGAATAGGAGACAGTGCAAACATTAGGAAGGTTCCAAAATAGTGATTGTATCAAGGTTCATAACTGTAGCCAAGAAAGACTCTCTTATCAGGAGTCACGTATAGTTTATATATATATATATATATATATATATATATATATATATATATATATATACACACACACATATACATATATATATATGTATTATATACACACGTATATAATACATATATATACATCTTCCCAGCCTCTCATGAGAGAAAAATGGAAGGCGAGATGGATGGAGAGAAGAGAAAGAGAGGGAAATATTTTAAATTTGGAACTTTTCTAGCAATATCAATGACAGCTTTAAGTCTTTCCAATAATTTCACTATGTTATTTTAAAAGAAAATGACCAGTGTAAGTTGCAGTTCTAACTGCTAGTAAATCATGGCTTAATGAAAACAATTATATTATATAGTATATATATTATACATATATATACACTTATATATGTGTATGTATACCTACATATATAATATACATACACATCTATATACACATGTATAATGTATATTATATACAATATGTAACATATATGTGTGTACGTGTGTGTGTGTGTGTGTGTGTATATATATATATATATATATATATATATATATATATATATATATATATAAAACAACACCAAAATATCCTCTGAAAGAAATAGGGACTCCAGAAACGTTGGTAGTACTGAACACTTGGGCACTTGGGTGATTTAGATTCAAAGGTTGCCTAATTAAAATGATTTAATTAGGCCTAATTAAAATGATAGCAAAGCATATACAAATCAACTAATAAGGATTCTCCAAAGAGTGTTTGTGTACACGCGTGTGTGTACAAGCACACAAATGTGTACATATGCATATATGTTGTGAATATGTATTTTGTATTTAATACTGTATGTTTCATAAGGTATATATACATGTAAATAATGTGTATATATTATAAAATACATATATATGAAAGTTTACAAGATCTTAATGTATGAATAAACTCAAACATTTAAGCTCCAGGTTATTTTAGTTGTATGATAGTTTATAGAATTTCTGTTTATTTTCTAAGGGAAATGTTGTTTCAGTGTAATTTTTTTAAAAGTCTTCAGGGATGATCTTTTACCACTGGGCCTTTCTTCATGACCTTTTCATGAACCAAAACTGTCCCAAGAAATTTGTCCAGGCTGATGTAGAGTCTGCTGAAAAAGGCACTAAGAACTTTATTTAAGGCAGCAATTTTCCTAAAGAATCTTAAATGAAGGACACATATGTTAATTTTCTATTTGTATATTCTTTATGATCTCACTGAAAAATAAAAATGATAAAATTTTGAGTTTCAGGTTTCTACTCTAGTGACCATCAACAAAAAATTAGGTTTGGAAGTTGCTTACTTAAAAGATAGATGCCATACACATTCATGGCCAATTACATTTATTTTCAGCCTGTGTTAGAGGCAGTATAAGACGAGATGATACAGAGGTATTGTAGGTCCTCTGATGTCCTAGGTGTCATTTCTTTGTTTTGGTGGCGTCACCCCATAATATTTTAAATACATGAAAATTTACCTTTGCCCAATATTAAGCATTATGGGTTTTCATATTTGCAAAATTGGAAAGCACTTTATAAACTTGTGTTTTCACTTCATTACAATTGTCTGTAATCTCAAAAAATAATTATTATGCATATTGGGAGATACTTGCAAAGGGAGAAAATCTTAACTATGAAAAGGTTTCAATTGCACAACTGATAAGTTTGAGAGGTAAATTAATAGACATTTAGTTAAAATTTCTTAGTTTTTAATTTGCATATCTTTTTTCATAGAAACTAAAACATTTTTCACAATTTAAATATTTTTCTGGTTGCTGGAAAAGTGTACTTGCCTTCCCTGAGCAATGTTCTATGGTGCCTAATGTATATATCAACCCCTGAAGGGTGTACTATAAATCTTTACCATTCATCTTTAGTCTTCTCTTCATAGACTTGGGAGCACAAAAAACCCTGTAATCTGGTTTAGATTATTACTTCTACATTTGCTAAGCATTCATTATATATGGCCATCATTATACTCATCACATACTACAGTGTACTAACTTATTTGTGTGACTCCCTCTGTAAAACAGAGGAAAGGAGATGGGAGCACATTCCTTCATTTACTCAAATACATACATTTATTCTAATAGAGACATTCACATAAAGTGTATATTTGTTAGATATTTTTGAATGTAACTCCCTGAAGGGCACTGTTCTATTCACTGAGGATATGGAAGCAACTAAAAAACAAGTCCCAGCTGGCCAGAAGGTTATATTTTGGTTGTATGTCTAATTTAATTTTGCACCTAAAACCTTGCCCAATATAGTATGTTTAACAAGTATTTTCAGATTATTAATAAAATATTGAAATTGCATGTTTAAAGATAAGATTGTTTGAAATTACTTAAATTTGCATGATTTTAGTGTACATTCAATATTCAGTGTAACAACTTCAAGCCATTAGAAATATATATATATATATAACATCTACTAATTCTAATAAAAATCACTTGGAAATCTGCATGTAAATGAAATTAAACCTTAATTGATTTGTTTTTAATTTATTTATATCTATTGCCCAAATTACCTCATCTTCCCACCCTCTCATGAGAGACAAATGGAAGGCGAGATGGATGGAGAGAAGAGAAAGTGAGGGAAATATTTTAAATTTGAAATGAAATTTTCTAGCAATATTAATAACAGCTTTAAATCTTTCCAATAATTTCACTATGTTATTTTAAAAGAAAATGACCAGTGTAAGTTGCAGTTCTAACTGCTAGTAAATCATGGCTTAATGAAAACAATTACAGCAGAAAGTATAATGTTTTATTTGTTCTTAGTACGGCCCCGTAAGAACTAGCAGACATCAGATTTGTCAAAGTCACAACTCCTTTAGAATTTCCAGGAGAACACCAGGATCAAAGAAAAGAAATAGATAAGATAAAGAATTATCATCTATTTGTAATAGGAGTTTCCCATTTAAGTTTTACTTGTTACTATCATTTTAGAACAAGTGAAAACTATGCTTGTTAGGAATCTTTACCTGACACTAATGGAACCTCTTTTGACAGATTTTTTTAAACAAAAATTATATGGTGTGAATAAAAAAAAAACAACTGTCAGGTTGGATCAGTTATTTTGTATCTGCCGGTACCTGCTTGGCTCACATAATTTCCCCAAAGATAGGTGAAAAACTCATTTGTACAAGCAGATTCTCTACATTATTAGAGAAGATGTATATTTTTTCTTGTCAGACATGTATATTCTAATTATCATTATACTACTGAATTCAACAATATTCTGTGCATTAGAGTGATATTTTCAACCAGCATGATGACTGCATTGAGTCAATGTGGAATAGAGATACCTGAAATAGTTAAAACCTCCATTGTATAATTAGGCTATTTTAATTATACTTAACGTAGCTTATGTATGTTTTCTACAATATTTTGATTTGATCAATGCACTTTTCAAAAATAGGAATTGTATTTTATAGATCTTGCCAATGTTTGTAGTTTATTGTCTTATCATTTAAATTTGGTTTATAGTTATAAGCATATTTTATTTTACATCTTCATATTTCTCTCATCACCCTTCTCTCACTCATTGCTTGCTGACTTTATTGCTGTTTCTGGAATAGTCAATGCATGATCTTGCCTCAGGGTCTTTGTATTTATTGCTCTGTCGATTTAGAAAACACTTCATCAAAATATTAGCATAGTCTTCCTTCAGGTCTCAGATAAAATATTACCAATACAGAAGACTGCCTTGACCATCCCAAGCAAACGAATACTAGGATTCCTTCTATCCTATTATTTCATAACACTGTGTATGTCAGAAAGAAGCCCACACGTGGTATATGTTCTACAGACCAATGCTGATTAGGGTCAAGGGAGAAAGGCTGACCCATTGCTAGCCCAGAAGGGTCCATCAGTAGAAGTCAAGAGGACTTTACACACCCTTTGCTGGGTCAGAGAGGTCCATCATCAAGAGTTAAGTGGACACCTGAACAATCTGAACACTCCTGACATGACTTTACAACCATCTCTCTGCTCCCACTGACCTTCATAGCCTCATCACTATTGTCTGCTTAGGAAAAATTAGGACTTAACTCATCATGTTCATTTTCTCATTTTATGTCAGTCACCAGAAGGAACTCAGAACTTCCAAGTCATTCCTGATCCCTAAGACTCTAATCCTCATCCTTTAATTTTCTCTGTCTCTGGATACTCTTTCACTATCCTCTCCGGAACTCAACAACAAAGCCCTTTTATCTTTCACTTTTGTATATTTCCCCCTTATCACCACCCCAAATGAAGCCTGATGACTCTGCATCACACACCGGCTTTTAAAAGGTGGATATTTTGGCCGGGCGTGGTAGCTCACGCCTGTAATCCCAGCACTTTTGAAGGCCGAGGCAGGCGGATCACCTGAGGTTAGGAGTTCAAGACCAGCATGGCCAACATGATGAAACCCCGTCTATACTAAAAATACAAAAGTTAGCCGGGTGTGGTGGCAGGCACCTGTAATCCCAGCTACTTGGGAGACTGAGGCAGGAGAATTGCTTGAACCCGGGAGGCGGAGATTGCAGTGAGCTGAGACGGCGCCATTGCACTCCAGCCTGGGTGACAAGGGTGAAACTCCATCTCAAAAAAAAAAGAAAAAAAAAGTGATATTTCTCTCATACTCCACTTAAGTCACTGAGAATGGGATTGGGATAATGTTCTTTGCTCCTCAGTGCCGCTTCCTGATCAATACCATTTCTCCTCCCTAAAATCTCCTAGCTATGTTCTCCAGACATCAGTAG
Organism: Homo sapiens; assembly: GCF_000001405.40. Classification (NCBI taxonomy): domain Eukaryota; kingdom Metazoa; phylum Chordata; class Mammalia; order Primates; family Hominidae; genus Homo; species Homo sapiens. The sequence continues at coordinate 84,308,676 of NC_000007.14, read as the reverse complement.
ATATTCTCTGCTACTCTGCTACTACCCCTTAGAGAAGTCTTCCACCAACCTCTGGCCCCTTCCCGACTTCTGTTAAGATTTTAGCTGTAGCTCACTGTCACTCTCTTCAACTCCATTCTTGTCATATATTATGGCAATTCCAATATCCACCCAGATGAGTCTTCAAAAATTCTAGTTTCTCAGTTGATTGACTCCTCTCCCACAAAGAACTTGTTTTCCATCTAATCACTAACTTCAGATAATTTCACCATCTCATGATGCATGTATCCAAGGGATGTTTGGTATGGTATTGACATTTGAGTTTTAAATGCTTGTATATACATTTGGGGTACCATTTTCTGATAACTTACCTATATACCTAGCATAAATTCTTTGCTTAAAATAATTCACTAAATTTTATCTAATCCTATCACACAGTAAGGGATCCAATAAATGTCTGCCGAAAAATGCATATAGGACAATATATTCTATTTTTTAAATATATGGTAATATAGAAATATTCTATAGTTCCCAAAATAGTACAGTAAGAAAAAACAAAGATTGGAAAGAAATACTACTTTAGAACCTGTATCTTTTTTTCTTTACTTTAATAAGATTAAAATGTTTAATAAGGTTAATAACTTAGCTAATGAATCTCCATTGCATACTTTTTTTGTTTTCACCAAATTTTACTTTTTTTTCAAATATATTAAATCCTCGGCCCAGCTTTGAATTGTCTTTATTTTCTTTTCTAAGTTATTTACATTATTTATTCAACTATGAAATGTGTACAATTAATGTTACAAAGCATCTATTTTAGTATAATGAAATTTTCCAAAGCACATTTTAAATTTCATGTTTGAAAAATTCTGTTGTTTAAAATTTCTATTTACTTTAAATATTTGGTATATTTCCTTTATCCAGAAAAAAAGGAAAAGCTTTTGTTAAAGTGAAATCCGGTTACTTACTAACAGTGTCATGAAATTACTGCTTAGCTGGGTTGTCAGTGTGAGCCTTTCATCACCAGTGGTGAAAAATATTAATGACATCATAGTATTATGGGCAAATCAATAGAGCATGTTAGTGTTTTACCTAATTCTCAAATAAATCAGTTATTCTTTAGTAGAGCCAGAGCCTAAATACTGAATTTTTTCAAACTCCATCAAATCCGATTAGTGATTACAAATTGTCATTTGTTTGGATAAGCCAGAATAAAATGTTTGCCAAATTCAGTACCTGCCTTCCATAATTCCTTTACCTTCATACATTACATTATCCCACACAAGATAGAGGGGTTGTTTGAAGAAATTTAAACTGACTTTTAATTAAGTGGAGCATATATTAATTGATTGGTAATTGTTTGATTTATATTAAATTTTAAGAATAAACTTGTTTATTTTTATAGGGTATTTAAAGTGCCCAGGTACTTACAATAACAAGTTGGACTGAACACATTGTATCTCAGGAATTAAGAATTTTTCCTAAAAGAAGGTAAGATAATTAAACTTATACACATTGGCATGTTAATAAGTTTTAGTGAAAATTTAGAGATACTACTGCACTTCTGTGGCATATAATTTATAAGATAATTTTTAAAAATTAAGAGCACTTTCTTTTTTTGTTTATATAGTCTTCTGTAGAATTATTTGGGTAGATGAGAGGGCTCCAACATTTGAAATAAAAATCAGTTTGTAGGAATTGCCATTTGAAATGTCAAGAGGTGGATTGCTACCATTTTGGTTTAAAAAAAAAAATCTCCAGACTTGGGAATTTCACTGGGTTTGTGAGGTTCCCCAGGAGCCACAGAGCAGAGATAGCTGGAATGTGAGCATATTGCTATCCACAAAAATATTTTGGCTAACCTGCTCCTTCTACATTTATTGGCCCACATATGGTTACTATCATCCAGAATCCACTCAAAGGCTGAGTGCCACACTCAGGGTGAAGTCAGTTTATAATGTGTTACACCATCTTAATTTTGACCTCACATGTGAGATTGAAATATCACCTGTAAAGTAAAATACAGTCAGGAAATCTGAATGTATACATACTGTATTACTTATTTTAATGCTTTTCAACCATAAAGGTTTCTCAGGATTCATTTCATTGTATAAAGTAGGAAGAAAATTTGGCAACATTAAGTTTACCATTCCATCACGGTTACATATGTTGCTATTAAAAGGAATGGCTACAATGAACAAAGAAATGAAAACATATTCTTGAAGATCTATATTGTATGGGACTGTTAAGAGAAAATAACACTGAATTTAAATATGCTTCTTTTTTTCTTATGGACCTTTGAGTAGAATAAAATTCATTTGTCAATTTTGTTTTGATTTTTATTTTAGTAAATCTGAAGAATTCACAATTTTATTGGGTTCCTTTTGATTTAACTGGATGATTATCCCCATTTAATGTGAACTGATACATTTTTCCTAGGTTATTCATATTAGTACCAATAAAAGTAAAAAATTTATGAAAAAATATATAATGCTACATGGAAATATCATTTACATACACAAAAAAAATTTATCACATCATATAAGGCAAAAATTTACTGATTTAAGAAGTATGTTGAAATTGTTAGAGTTCATATTGAATTGGTATGGATATTTGATTCTTTTATGGGAAATATACCTCATATCTTTAGAATTGGTAGAGCACTAAAAACCTCAAAAATGACTTGTAGTACCACTTCTCTAATACATACATGTACATTTATACATACATATATACACACATGTATATATAAATTAATACATGTATATATACATATATGAATTAATATATATGTGTATATATTCATTATTTGGCTAGAATAATTTTCAGACTTCCACAATACTAATTTCCTGGATGTTATTTTTCATGAGTGCATCATACACACAAAGACAAAACACTTGCTTACTTTTTCAGTAAATAATAAACCTCTCCTCCTTCAGTTACAATTGCTTCCCAGTTCACCAGTAAAGGAGGCAAGATTCATGAGACAAATTTCCTGGGTACTAATTAAAATCTGTTTCAAATGTATAAAGGCCAAAGTGATACATAGAGCTGGTGTCACTGTCATTGCCACCATTGTCTTTTAATGTTTATTTGGGATCTAGCCAGTACTTAAAAATTCATTTATAAAAACATCAAGAGCTCATATGGATGAGTCTTAAATCACTGAATGCAATTGACAATATACACATTGAATTGAAACAGGATAGTGGATAGAAGTCAACCAATGAAAACTCAAAATATTTAGCAAATATGACTAAAATCTGATGAAATTTTACTTCCAGATATTGCATCTAATTGAACTATTTGTGGAACTTAATTTATGATTCTAAGTTTTGGGTAACACACATATAAGCTAGGATACATAAATATCAATTGGTTGGAAAATATCTGGTCATCTCAAATTGGGGACTATCAGACCTTCATTTTATCTACTATTTTTGCTTTTTTTTTTTTTTTACTGGAAGTAACCTGAAAAAAGAATTGTTAACATATCAAGTGAGTTTTGAAATAGCTTATATAAATAATTATTTAAAAGCGTAGACAGTATATTTTTCTTGTCTAATTCTGTCAGTAAATAACTTATTTGCTTAAGCAATGCCTACATAGCAAGATCCATGATACATTTATTTCCTCTCCCAAATCTGAGAATAGTTCTGCCATTGTTGACTCTTCCCTCAACATGGCTCCATATATGTTTGATTCTAAACAAATTTTAGATTAAATATATACAAATGCCTTACTAGCAATCTCATAATAAAGATTTCAAGCATTTATTTAAAAAGTGGAAAGTAAATAAAATTCCACATTAGCTAAAAGTGAAATTGAAAATATGTGGATAACAAGGAAATAGATAAAAACCAGAATGCTAAGATCAACAGTAGTATATAATTTGCTATTTTAAGTTTAAATGCATTTATTTTTATATGGTCATTGAATAAGTTTGATCTGGTTTGTAGGGATATGATCGCTTGTGAAATTGCACTATAGACTCAGATAGCACTGGAATTCCAAGGTGTGTCACTATATTTGACTTTGAGAAAATTATTCTACCTAATTTCATTTTCTCATTGATACATTAGTGCCAGCAGTACTTAATTTTATTTGCTTAACTTATCTAAATATTTTGAAATACTTTATAAATTGAATTTTGAAATAGTTTTTCTTTTCTGTGGTTAGTTTTGAAAGTATATTCATCTTATTCGTAAAACCATTCTACTTTTTTAATGATTGAGTAAAGTCTTATTTTTCTTTTCAAGATTGTAAGCTTTTTGAAGTGAAAAATATTTTTCTTCTTTCTTTGAAAAGCATTCTTTATTTGGCAAGTAATTATTTATTATAACACTTCTCAAAAATTGTATTATTGAGTAATTGTGAAGGAGACCTTATGGACTTCAAAGCATCAGATATTTACTATTCAGCCCTTAAAACAAAAAAATTGCTGACCCCTGCTCTACATCCTAGCAAAACTTCATGTTATGAATCTATTTTGTAAATTAAAGCATTTCTGCCCATGTTTCTGGTTTTTAAACACCTTCATCCATGAGGAGCTTCTTTTGAATGCTTTATGAACCCCTATTTTTTTCTTCCTTATGCCTGCCTCCACACACCAGTTTAAAGGGACAGGCAATATTACTTCAGTGAGTGAGTGAAAGAAAGAATAAGAACCTTTGGTATGGAAATATGGCCAGTGAATTGAGTTAAAACAAAGCCATTAAGAGCATTTAAAATTCTCTAGAAAATGTTAGGATGGATACTCCCAAACTTACAATGGGGTTACATTCTGATAAACCCACACATAATTGAAAATATAGTAAGTCGAAAACGCATTTAATACAACTAACCTACCAAACATGGCAGCACAGCCTAAACTACATTAAGTATGCTCAGACACTTATATTAACCTAAAGTCAGACAAAATTATCTAACACAAAGCTATTTTATAATACAATGTTGAATATCTCATGTAATTTATTGAATATTGTACTGAAAATGACAAACAGAATGGTTGTATGGGTATTCCAAGTACAGTTTCTGTTGAATGTCTATCACTTCTGCATCATTGTGAAGTTGAAAAATTTCTAAATTGAACCAGTGCCAGGTCGGGGACTATCTGTATTTAACAAACTAATACCTTTTTTTTTTTCAAATGAAGACTAGTCAATATGTTCACCTATTATTTTAGCTGTTACTAATTGTTACTTAATTTTGATTTTCAGATAAGTTGTCTTAGCTTATACCATATTTATATCTCAGTCTGTTTTCTAACCACTTACAAGATGTTTGAAGGAACTAGAACATGTTTTCCCTGTTTAAAAATTCCTAGACATTTTTTTTAAAAAAAGAGATGGCTTGGGCATACTAAGAAAATTATGCTGCAATTGAGTTCACACTCAGTTTTAGTAACAAGCAACCTTAGTGACCCGGTCAAGTAGCAAGCTCTTACCTCACGGCCTTGACTCAAATGTTAGTGCCCACAGGGTCATAAAGAGTGCTTAGAGGCTTGGTTTTGCCCCGAAAGAGAATCTGGCATACATGCCTAACCTCCTCTGCACCCAGTGAGGGTGGGGATTGGAATGGCTGTGAGTAGGTGTGGAATGTCACCTACCTCTTTGAAAAACTTCATTGCATGTTTGCACAAGTCCAACTTCAAATTCAGATGGAGTAGTTATTTATCTATTTATTTTGCTGGCTAATTAGTTCTTCTTTCCTCAAACTGTTCTTTTCTTTTTCTTTTTCTTTGCTAATCTGTACTAAGTGTTTTTAGGTCTACAGAATTTCTGAGCCAGAAGGAACTTAGAAAAATCATCTCAGTGTTTACATTAAGAAATTGGGGCAAAGATGAATACAAATTACAGAAACCAAGATCCCCAAACACCAACTCTAATTCTACATTTGTTTCCCTTATGTAGTAAGATCTGGCTCCCAAGATATCCCTTTTACTAAACTTTCTTTTTCATTTGTTTTGGGACTCTTTTGATAGTTTCCATTATTTCCATTATTCATTATCATTGTCATAAGCAGCAATTTTTGTTTTCGTGAACAAAACAAATGTGTGACCCCCGTTCTACCAATAAAATCTGTCAATGAGTAAAATTAAAGGAGCAAGAAAGATTGAGTAATTTTTAAAATACACATCTAATATAGCACTTCAGAGAACTACTCTGTTTGGGGAAGGGGATTTTATGGCTGGCTAAATATTTGTTGATACATGTATGAAAGGCAAAACACTCTGCATAAAAAGTCCTTGAGGTATGTAAAAACGTTTTGGCGGAGTCCTCTCTACACATTTATTTTTCTTCATTAACTTTATTGAGGAATAATTTAGATGAAACAAACTTCATCTATTTTAATGGGCTCAGGTTTCTTGAGTTTTAATGAAGTGTATATCCTTTAAACCATTATCACAAGCAAAATCTAGAATATTTTTATCACACAGGAAAAATTATTCCTAACTCTTTCCTTTTTTGATACTATGCATTAATTTGTATTTCATATAAATAAGTATATAAATGTAAGTGTATACTTTTTCACTTAGCAAATAATTTATACATTTATCTATGACTTATGTGTATTAGTAGTTGATTTTTTTTATTACTGAATGGTAGTCCATTGAATGGATATTCTATATGGATATACTACATTTGGTTATTCATTCACTTGATGGATATATAGTTGTTTCCATCTTTTGTCCTTTGTGAATTGCTTTCCTATGAGTATTTGTATACAAGTCTTTGTATGAATATGTGTTTTCATTTAGTTTGAAAAAGACGTGGATTGGAAAATCAGGGAGATTTGGTAGGTGTATGTTTAACTTTGAAGAAATGACAGTTTTCCAAAACGGTTGTACCATTTGACATTCCCCTGAGCAGTTTGTGAGAGTTCCTGTCATTCCGCATCAGGGCTCTGCAAACTATAGTACTTAAGCCAAATTCAGGTTTATTTGTGAATAGAAGTATATGGGAACACAGGCACATTCGTTTATGAACAAGCTGCTTTCATATTACAAAGGCAGAATTGAGTAATTGTGAAAGAGACCTTATGGCCTTCAAAGCATCAGATATTTACTATTCAGCCCTTAAAACAAAAAAATTGCTGACCCCTACTCTACATCCTAGCAAAACTTCATGGCATGAATCTTTAATGTGTATGTGGTGCTATCCAAATAGGTCTTTAATTTGCATATGTCTGATAACTGATGATATTGAGCATATTTTAATTTGCCTATTTACCATCTACATGTCTTCTTTCCTTAAGTACCTATTCAAAACTTTTACTTATCTTTTTCATTGGCTTTCTGGCCTTATTATTGAATTATAGGAGCACTTTATGCATTCTGAAGACAAATTCTTTGATATATGCATGTGTGTGTGTGTTTTGTGAATATTTTCTACCATTCTGTGATTTTCTTTTTCAGCTTCTTTTGAAAAGCAAAAATTTTATTATTGATGAAGTACAATATGTTTTTCTTCTTATTTTTTTACTTGTGCTATTGAGTACTAGGAAGCCTTTGCTTACCCCAAGGTTAAAAAGTTTTCTCTGATGTTTTCTTCTAAGAGTTTTATTCTTGTAGTTTTCAAAGTTTATAATCTGTTTTTGATCCATTTAACTCCCCTCCCCTGCAGGAAAAACATCTCCTGAATTTTTATTGAATTTTTTAATCCATAAAATAATTAATGTTTCTCTGGATATCTTTTTACTATTAATTTCTAAATCTATGGTCAGAGAACATACTCTGATAGAAATAATTTAAATCTATTCAGAGTTGTTTTAAGGCCCAGAATGTGTCGAACTAAGTGACTGGTCCACTCACATTGTGTACTTTTCAGTTAATGACTATATCCTTTAAAAATATCAATTAGGTCAAGATGCTTCAAGGCATTATCTCGATGCACCAAGATTTCATTAATATTTTTGGTTCTTTTTTTTAAATAAAATCTCTTTTAATAACTATGCAATGTTCCTTCTCTTCCTTCAATTCAGTCAAGTATCTTTGTACTTTGTAATTATTTTTTAGACTTATAAATTGACTATTTTGTTATTATCTGCTTTTTATTTTGATATTTGATAATGTTTTTGCTTTTATGTCTATTTTAGCTGGCATTCATATAGTCATTCCAGCATTCTCATGCTTATTATTTGTGTCTTCATTTTAAGCCATATGTGTAGTACTGCTGTTGAACATTTAATATATTCTGATTTCTGTTTCTGTGTAACATGTAGCCCCTACCAAAATAAAAAGCTTTTAGAATTTTATTTTTATCACTGATATTTTCAAGTGTAATTATGTTATGCCTTTTGGGATTTGCTTTATTTTGTTTTCATTATACTACAGATTAAGTACATGCTTTCCACCTGAAAACTCATTCCCTTCAGTTGTGGGAAATTTTCTGTGTATTTATATCAAGATGTGTATATGTGTATGAAATGTATATATATGAAATATATGCATATATATTCTTCCTTCTAGTCTGTTAGTCCTAAAAATATGATATTTGACTTCTTTAATTGATCCACTAATTTTGTTTTTTTTTCTATTTTATTTTCTCCTTTATGAAAAATTTTCTTGACTTTATCTTCCAACACTTTTACTAAAGTTCTTATTTCAGTTATCATAGTTTTAATTCCTAAGTTTCTTTTTCTTTCTTTTTTTTTTTTTTTTTTTGTGACTGAGTCTCACTCTTGTCACCCAGGCTGGAGTGCAATGTCATGATCTCGGCTCACCACAACCTCCGCCTCCCTGGTTCAAGCAATTCTCCTGCCTCAGCCTGCCAAGCAGCTGGGATTACAGGCATCTGCCGCCATGCCTGGTTAATTTTTTTGTATTTTTAGTAGAGACGAGGTTTCACCACGTTGGCCAGGCTGGTCTCAAACTCCTGACCTCAGGTGATCTAGTCTTATTCATTTGTTTGCTTGTTTGTTTTTAATAGATTAAATGTATTTTCTTACTGCTAGAGAATGTCATTTATAGTTTGGATTTGACATGGTCTTCACGTTCCTCATTATTTCCTCCAAGTTCTCTTTATATTAGAGATTTTGGAGGGTTTTGTTCATTATTTACATTATCAGCTTTCCTCATGGTCAAGTAATTCTAAGCTGTCCATTGGTATTTATAAGTGAGAAATCAAGCCATTTTTGAAAGTACTCTGTTGGGTGGGAGTTAGACTGGGTATGGAAGAGGTTAGAGGGTGTTTTGTGGATTATTAGACTGCTGTTTATATTGACCAATAAGTGCATCCGTCTTTTTACTCTGGACTACCAAATGATTAATCAGGGCTCTCTAGAGGCACAGAACTAGTAGGAGATGTGTGTATATATATATATATATAGAGGGAGAGAGAGAGAGAGAGAGAGAGAGATACATATATATGGAGATATATATATATATGGAGATATATATATGGAGATAGATATATATATGGAGATATATATATGGAGATATATATATATATATACACACTGTTTTATATCTTTATGAAAGGGAGTTTATTAAAAAGAATTGACTCACAGGATCACAAGGTAAAGCCCCACAATAGGCTGTCTGCAAGTTCTGCAAGTTAAGAAGCAAGGAAGCCAGTGGTGGATCAGTTTGACTTCCAAAACCTCAAAAGTAGGGAAGCTGACAGTGCAACCTTCAGTCTGTAGCTGAAGGCCCAAGAGCCCCTGGCAAACCACTGAGTAAGTCCAAGAGTCCAAAAGCTGAAGAACTTGGAGTCTGATGTTCAAGTGCAGGAAGCATCTAGCCCATTAGAAAGATCAAGGCTGGAAGACTCACCAAGTCTCCTCTTCCATCGTCTCCTGCCTGCTTTATTCTAGTTTTGCTGGCAGCTTATTGGATGGTGCCCACCCAGGTTGAGGATGAGTCTGCTTTTCCCAGTCCACTGACTCAAATGTTAATCTCCTTTGGCAACACCCTCACAGAAACACCCAGGAACAATACTTTGCATTCTTTAAGCCAATCAAGTTGACCCTCAATATTAACCATCACAGATAATATGTAGAAAGTTCTTCAGTGCTTTTTAGTTTCTTCAATAGTTGGCAAAGGAGAAATATCTGCTGATTACTGATATTTTTGGAACAAGGTATAGGGAACTGTTGCCTCCTCATCTCTTCTTCTGGTAGAGTATGCCGTTAGTGCTGATTATCTCCCAGTTTCCTTAGAGTGAATGGGCTTGCTTATCCTGAGAGGTCTCTAACTCCCATTTGCTAAATTAATAAATTTTATGTGAATCCATTATTCCCCCAGTTCCTTGAAATCTTATGTTGAGGTGGTCACTTTTATCTTTCCTCCTTGTCTTAATGGATGAATATATTTGTTTGTTTATTTGTTTTAATTCTCTGCTATGCCTTTCCTGGGGTTAAGAATGGGAGAGGAGATTGACTTTTGTGCTTAATCTGTCTGGTTTCATTAGAATTCATATTATGTTCTTAATAAATAATTACATAATTTTCATAGGTTTATTTAACTCATATGTTATTATGAATGATGGCAATATGTTTCCGTAGGTTTGATAGGCAGAAGAAATAATTTCCTGAGTTTCTCAAAAATAAATATCTACAGTACCAGTGATGAATCAGTTCTCCCTCCTTTATGGCCATATTTCTAGGATCATTTTATAACTTATTGACATCTTTACCACAGGAAGAGACAAAGATTCACATCTGTCCATTTTAATACATGCTAAGAAGTTTTAGTAAGAGGTTTAATACAGGAGAGATTGGGAATTATTGGCTAAAATGATGCCTTGGGATTATCTGCAGATTTCATTACTCATGTTATTTCTGTCCTCCTATTACCATAGGTAATTGACTAGAGCTGAAGTGGGAGTATAGACTGAAATACAGTTGCAGCTCATCTGGGTTTCATTAAAACTATATCCCTGTTGAGCTACAGCTGGACTTTGCAACAATTTATGTCTAGGAGTGCTACCCACAGTCACTGGGAATTTGCCTGAGGTCTGAGACAGTTGCTATGAAAACTGTCCTACTCCCTCTTTCTTAGTGGAAATGTAACCAACAGTTAGCCAGAACTTATAATAACAAAGGTAAAGAAATAATTATAGAGCAGCAGGGTATTAACAAAATTGAGACTTGTAGATCATTGCACAAAGACCTATGTAGATTAGTTATTTTGATTGGTATTCTGGAACAATTTATTTTCATCTATACTATGAAAGTTGAAAAGTAGACCCTCAAAGTTTTAGGGAATTTTATCTCATTTTATTCTAAATATGTGTTTGCAAGTGCCCTTGAGCTTTCTTTGTTAAGGACAATTCTGTTTGGTTTCTAAAATTGTGAAGTCAAAAAAATTAAGATCAAATTATGGAATTATTTTTCAATCAGAAGGGCAGAGAAGTTCAGATAAAATTACTGAACTGTCTGTATTTTAAGTACTGCTTTACCAAGTGTGATTAAAAACTCGGCTGGGCACGGTGGCTCACACCTGTAATCCCAGAACTTTGGGAGGCCAAGGCCGGCAGATCACCTGAGGTCAGAAGTTTGAGACCAGCCTGACCAAAATAGTGAAACTCCGTCTCTACTAAAAATACAAAGTTAGCCGGGCATGGTGGCGCATGCCTGTAATCCCAGCTACTCAGCAGGCTGAGGCAGGAGAATCACTTGAACCTGGGAGGCGGATGTTGCAGTGAGCTGAGATTGTGCCATTGTACTCCAGCCTGGGCAACAAGATCGAAACTCCATCCCAAAAATAAAAATAAAAATAAATCTCAGAAAAGAATATCAAACTGTTTTTAGAAAGCCATCTTACTGAATACTATGACAAAATTGACATAATTTGAAGTGGTTTTAAACCTTTAAATATCATTTCATCAATGTGTGACATTTTGATTGGAATTTTGCCATAAAAACATTTTTTTTATAAAATAATAATGACATTTTAAAAGATTGTTCCCTTAACATCTTGTAGAATTTGCTACTCACAATGTGAAATTTCCCTTGGATATTGATTTAAAAGCTATCACAAAGAGTATGGAGGTACAAAGATGAGTAAAATAAAAGCATATGCAATCATAAAAATGTTTCAGGACATCTAGATTCTAGTTGTTTATACCATTAGAAAAAAATCAATTGCAGTTTTATAATAAATTTAAATAACATCCCAAATTTCTTTTTTAAGTGGTAAAGAAGCCCCTGTAAAGCAACACTACTCTAACTTGCTACATAGGCTTGCCACTCTGCTACAGATTCATTCAAGAAAGCAATGAGACCTGATGGAATGAGGAATTTAAATTTTTATTACTGGATAATATGTAAAACAAATATCCTTCCACCTCTAACCATGAATGTCATGTAATTTCTAAACTAGTAGATAAGCGTGTTGCTCAAATTTATGATTACAAAGAGGGTACACATGTGAAGCGGCCATTTTGATATAATTACATCATATGATTGGTTTGTCAAAATGCCTAATTTTAATCTCATCCTCTAATCTAGCTAACGCTATACAAACCTTCATATCTTAGCTAAATAGCACCACCACAAAAAAAAATACGTTCATATTTTACACTAATCCCAGCTACTCAGGTAACTGAAGTGGGAATATACTTGTTTCTTAAGACAGGTCTTCTATATATTACATTTTTCTCTTAAGTCAGGAATTCTCTGTGTACTGTTTTATCTCTTGTAGTTGCTCAATTAGTAACTTGATTGTGTGATTAAATAAGCTTACATCTAAATATGATGTATTTTGCTGAATCATTTTCATGATTTCTTGCTGCTTCTAACACAACATGAGTAGTGTATTGTAAAAGTGGCTTTGAATTGTGGATGTATAGATATAACTTAAGTTACCAAATCCAGACATGGTAATATGTTATCAAAAGCTTTTACAATCATTACCCTCAATATATTGGTTTATTTATTTTCGGAATCATAATGAAAGTATTTTATTATAACTGAGAGTAAAATGCCACCAAGAAGAGGTACAAAATGTAGTTGAAAAACAATCATTTTTTAAACTTTGGCTTGAATATTAGAGGGCATAGTTACAAATTTGTTAACTTATTAGTTGCTTCTTTTTTAAACCAAAGACAACAAAATTAGACTTAGAATAGATTTTATAGGTTGTTCTGCATAATTTATTTAAGTATAAGGACGAAAGAATTGAGAAAAGAAAGGCAGGCTGATTTGTCCCAAATCACACAGTCAATAGAAAGCCTAGTTATGGAAACCTAATTTTGAGACCTGCGAAGACAGTTTTCCGACTGCAAACATGCGGATTTCATTTCAGATATTCTCCAAACTTAAAAATGTATTCTTTTGAAAAATTTTGCCCCAAGCAAAAGATAAATTGCAACATTCACATTTTGTGAATGACGGAAATCTTTACCTCTACAGCCTGGTTGGCTTAATGCAAGGATATAAAAAAAAAATAATGAATCTAATGTCACTCATTTAACAACAAAATGATACTGTCAGCATTTTGATTAATGTCTATTTTGAACCAAGAGACCATTGTCTTATAGAAATATTCTAGACCAATTGCTAGTCTAGACTACAAAGTTGGACAGAGGTACCTTCTAAATCAAATCCTTTTATATCCCACAGGCTGAGATCATGCACATCTGAGATGTGTTAGTTGAAATTCCACACAGTCTTCAATTGCCAAGTTTGGATGGAATGAACATAATACTAAAAGTAAGGAAACTAAGAAAAATTAACATTAAAAACTTTTTGCTATATAAAGATTCTACAGAGAGCAGCAGGAAAGAAGGGCCCCCAGCATTCTCCACTGACAGATTTAAACTTGAAGCTGACCTATTGTTACCTCCAGGGAGGAAATGGGAAGGTTAGGAAAAAGATTTCAAGATTGAGCAACCAATTACAATTAACTCAGAAGTATTTTCTGAACAACTTTCTGTGGGGGGACACGTATATATGAGATGTGATTCCTTCACTCGCAGCTTGATCAAAGTATCTGACAGTTTGATTGAAGATGTATTCTCACCATTTTACCAGTTCAACCTTTATTTTCTGAATATTTAGAGGATTACAAGTATTATTATAAATTATTGGAGTAAAAGAGGAGTAAAAATAAATGTCCTACAATCAAAATATGCCATCATGAGAGCAATATTATAAAATTTTCAATGAAATATGTTAAGTGCTAAAATGGCAGAGCGCCCACTTCTCAGTCTTCATTTAGCCTTCATGTAACTCCCATGAGAAGAATATAGGAATTTAATTTATTTTATTATGGTGATAAATATGGACAAATATCCTAATATAAAACTGAGCAAATCATATAAATAAGGGATTATTGCAAACCAGGCTAAAATATGCAGCAAACATATGAAAGGTTCTAAAGCTTACTAGTAGGAAACTGCCAACTACAGCGGTAATGAGATAGTTTTCCTTCCTTCAGGTCAGTGAAAATTAAAAGTGGGGAAGCCAATCAGTGTTTCCTATGGTGCCAGGAAGTAGGCACGCTCATGGCTTGTAAAAATCCAAAATTGCTATTAATTCATGAAAAGGAATATCTACTAAAATAAACATGTATAATCTTAATAAAATAATAACTAGCAAGACAAATAGACAAGGAGAGAAGTAAAAAACCCTCCAAAAATATACAAAATGTTCATCACTGGGGAAAAGTTAAGTATTGTGGTTTTGATCCATATTATTGAATATTTTACCTTGATTGAAAGTGTTTGTCAGATCCATACATTTGACTGGAGGCTTTCTTTTGACATGTTTTGTGAAAAAGCCATTTTTGCTAAACAGTGTTTTTATTGTGACACTGAAATACTGTTTTTTAAACAAATAACAAATTCAATGTGTATGATATATAAGTATACATCTTTTCATCTATGTGAAGAAGGGTATGGAAAAGGCTGTTGTTAACCTTGGAAACCTGTAGCATAAGAAATGAAGTTCATATACGGATTGTTTTTAATTTTTCCCCTTACACGGATTCTTATATTTTGACTAATTTAGGTAAACCTATTAAGATTTTGCTTGAAAATATTAATTGTAACAAAAACATAAAGAAATGCTGTAAAATAATGAGAGAAATGAACTTGAAATATTTTTGTATTACTAGTGTTTATAATTTATGGAACTGTGACTTCTCCCCATCCACTTGTAGAGATAGTTAAGAATTTAATGTTGTTTTTAAAATTAAGATTTTTAACAAAATATGTAATTGTTATATTTTTTGCATCTGAAAATTAATTTGATACTTTTCTCATGTCTATTAGTAGGTAGGTTGGAGTAGATAATATTGTCTTGCTTTACAAATGGCTTGCCCTAGTCTACATGCCAAATACAAAAAAAAATTATTGATTCATGTTCAGAAAGAAACTCTGACATAGTTATATCAATCAAAAGGCAAATATGAGAAAGCAATTCCAACTCCATTGAGAAGCTATTCTTTCAACAAAACAAAGTGTTCCTAACTGGCTCTGAATAGGTAATTATGTCAGTCCATGGCATAGGGTACGGATAAAACAACTAGGCAGATGCGTCACAGCAATGGTTGGTACAGATCTTTGAATTTTAATTATGTTCAAGTTAGAAACATTTTTTAAAATGTGCTTTAGGTATAGACATAGAAATAATTATTTTTCTTCCTTATCCATCACCCTGCAAAAACCAAGTTTTTATAACTAGTGCTTTGTCCAATGAATCTGTAAACAGAAATTCTACAATTTTGCTAGAACTGTTTTTAAATTTCTACTTCTATATAATGTAATGCAACAAACATGTAAATTAGTTTCTTATACATACATTAATATATTTACCATTTAGGCCTCATCTACATGGTCAACATGAAAAACTTTCAGAGAATAGGGCAATATGTTTTTCACAACATAAATAACCTATAAAATATATGTTAAAATATTGATTTAAAATATGTCCTAAGGCCTTTGAAATGTAAAATAAAATATAATTTCTAATAGAAATGCAAGTCAGCATCACTTTACTACATTCTTTCTTTACACATTCTTGAAACTATCAAGTTTTGTGGACCATAACGTCACTAATGTTATCCTCTGTGGTAAAGTTTGTTGGGGAGAGTTTAGGAATAGATTTTGCCCAACCCCAATTTGTGCATTTTCTACCTCCTACAGATTTTTACGTAGTATTGGCTTCAATTAACTAAAGTATGGAGGATTGCTTCTATTTTCAGAATAAAGGCTCTTCTCTTACATGTTTTGAGTTTTATCTACTCAGGTGATTAAACTAGACCCAGAGTTTACACCAAGAAATGGTTGCATAATGTGGTAATCGTTTTTTTTTTTTAGTCAAGTATTCAATATCACTCAATTCTGAATAAATTATTTTTAATAAATACATGAAATTAATAATAATGCTTAGCAGAAATTTTTCAACTAAATCTTAATAAAACCATGTGCCATAGTAAGTAGATATTCTACCTTCTCATTTTCCTTACAAATAAGCACTGACAATTAGGCAGCATTTAACATTTAACATGCTTATCTTCACAGCTGCAGTGGCATTGAAGGTGATTAAGAATGGCAAGAGGAGTTTTCTTTTGTAAAGATTTGAAAATAGAGGGAAATAATGATCTATTCTCCCTTGCTTGTTGAGTGGTTAGAGGTAGATAAGCAGATTTGTAGTGAGGTCATCAGTCACAATTGGTTGGTAATTTGAAAATGGATTAGCTTAGAAGTAGCAATTTCTGCTCCATGGGTTTCAGTGAAAAAGTCTGCCTAATTCGGTAAGAGACCTCATAAACTGGCAGAGATCAATGCCTACCTAATGTGCCATTATGCACTGGGCACACTTCAATGATTACAGCACAGCTGTGGCTGGGTTTTGCTTGATATTTCTTTAGCACTTGCACCACAGGTGCTCCACATGACTATTTTGCCCAAAGGAATAAACTCTTTAGGGAACTAAAATGGAGGAACGGTTTTGCTTTCTAAGAGGCTTTTCACTTTTGAACTGAGGAATGGCCAGTGTCAGATGTCAGTAATGTTAGCCTAGTAATAAATAAAGACTAAACAACTTACGGGGAGAAAATCATCTTCTATTATATTTCTGGATGGCCCTTCCTTATTTTAAAAATTTTATGGGGTAATACTACCTGCCTTTGCAACTTGAAAGAACATGGTAACACAAATTTCCAAATGGAAATGTTCAATGTTTTATGAGATAAATTATTTTTTAATGGAAGAGACAGCATTACGTAATTTTTAACATTTTTCTGATAGGTCATGAAAATTAGTTGGCAATGCAGAAGGAAAAGGAATTCAGTAAAATAAATTTAAAATAAAAATTGAATGTAAGATACACCACTGATAATCCTTAGTCTTATGATCCCAAGATTTCTGTACTGGCTATGTGCAAATATTATATGTTGGAATAATGGGTAAAATATATTAAGAACAGATAAATAATTTGAAATGCAAATCTATATCATGCAAATAATAAATTCTGTTTTATGCTTTACACAAAGAAATACTAAGTAATATTACCTAAAAAATTATTTATGTATCTAAAAATTTATTATCTAAAATTTTTATCTTATAGCTCATTGAATATAATACGATAAATAATGAGATGCTACAAAAATCATTCCAAGGTAATATAACACACAGAAAGGAGTTTATTGAGAATAATTTATGATTGATTCCTTGATACCAGCAGGAACAATATGTGGTATACAATCTAACTCTTACAGTCCAGTTTTTAATGGAACATCAACATAGGTTTATAGTTAATCAGCAATCTTATCAGAAATGTTAGCTCTCATTTAGGTACCTGACCTTTTCAAAGTAAAAGAAATACAATACAATGATTAGACAAATAATGCTTTAAGATTTTAGGGGCAAAGAAAAGGATTTTCTGTTCCAAATTATTTCTCAATCTGCTCATGTAAAATCTTTTCAAGAGGGTACAGTCATCTAATCCACAGTTAAATGTTCATCTCTGAATGAAGTGGTCCAGTAGAGGTAACATATTTACTTGAAGTTTAGTACATGAAACAACAGTAGCAATAGACCCATTTAATACTTCCATAAAAGTATGTTCAGATTTCAAATGAATAGTTAATTTTTAAAAGGGCTTACTTCAGAAGAGAACTGCTATTCTGGTGAGAGGACTTACCATGCCACGGGAGTTGTGGGTGTTG
The DNA here is from genome assembly GCF_000001405.40 of Homo sapiens. NCBI lineage: Eukaryota > Metazoa > Chordata > Mammalia > Primates > Hominidae > Homo > Homo sapiens. The sequence continues at coordinate 84,290,579 of NC_000007.14, read as the reverse complement.
CTGTAGGAATTTGGGAAAGGAGACAATTTGAAGGCTGTCACGTGAAAGGAAGGTGAAGCTTCAGCTGTGTGAATCCCCTGGCTAGTACTCAGAATATTATGGCTCCTTAGACACAGTTAAGATAAATAGGAAAAAAAAAACAACTTTTAAATGTGTAAAATCTAAAAATGAAAAGAGTATAACATGGAAAGCAATATAAAAGATAACCCTCTTCAAGGGTATTTAAGATCAAAGAAGAGGTCCTCGGATTCTAGATGAGCCAAGGACACAGACAGTTTTTTTGTTTGGTTGGTTTGGTTTGGTTTTTGGTTGTAAAAACAGCTTTATTGATGTATAATTTACATACCATAAAATTCACCAATTTTAAGTATACAATGCCATGTACATTTACAAGGTGGTATAATTATCATCACAATCTAATAACGGAATTTTTTCATCTTCCCTAAAGGAAACCACTAGCTCTTACACCCCATTCTCTCCCACTTCTCACCCTAAGCAAGCACTAATCAAATTCTTGCCTGTATCGATTTGCCTATCGACATATCAATGAAATTATATAATTTCTGTTCTTTTGTGACTTTTCACTTAGCATGTTTTCAAAGTTCATTCAATTTTAGCATGTATCATTACTTCACTCCTCTTTATTGCCAAATAATATCCCATTGAATGGATATGCCACAATTTATACACCATTTATCAATCAATGGCCATTTAGATTTTTTCTACTTTTTGGTTATTGTGAGTAGTACTATGAATATTCATGTATAAGCTTTTACATGGGCATGTTTTCATTTGTCGTTGGTACATATCTACAAGTGGAATTGCTAGATCACATGGTAACAGTATGTATAACTTTTTGAGGAATAGCCTCACTGTTTTCCACAGCAGCTAAAATCATTTTACATTCTCACCAGCAACATGCGTGGGTTCCAAGTTCTCAATATCCTTGCTAACATTTGTCATTATATATTTTTTATCATTGCCATCCTAGTTTTTGTGAAGTAGTTTCTCATTGTGGTTTTCATTGCATTTATTTTGTGTTTGTGCATCTATCTTTATTATTTTTAATTTTTTATTGATAATAATTGTACATATTTATGGGGTATAGTATGGTATTTTTATACGTGTATATAGTGTGCAGTGATCAAATGAAGATAATTGGCATATTCATCACCTCAAACAGTTATCATTTCTTTATGTTGGGAACAGTCAAAATCCTCTTTCCTAGCTATTTTGAAATATACAGTAAATTATTGTTAACTGTGGTCACCGTGCTGTGCTATAGAACACAAGAACCTATTGCTCCTATCTAACTGTAGTTTTGTACCCATTAATGAACCACTCCCTATCCTGTCCTCCCGCCTACCCTTTCCAGTTTGGCAATTACTATTCTACTCTCTAATTCCATGAGATCACCTCTTTAAGCTCCCACATACGAGTGAAAATGTAGTATTTGTCATTCTGTGCCTGGCTTACTTCACTTAACATAATGTCCTCCAGGCTCATCCAAGTTGCTGCAAATGAGAAGATTATATTTTTTTTTAACAGCTGAATAGTACTTCACTGGATGTATATATACCACATTTTCTTTATCCATTCATTTATGGAAGGACACATAGGTTTTTCCATTTCTTGGCTATTGCAAATAGTGCTCCAATAAACATGGGAGGAGTGTGTAAGCTCTTTAGCTTACTGATTTCCTTTCTTTTAGATATGTACCCAGTAGTGGGATTGCTGGATTATACAGTTTTTTTGTGGAACCTCATACTCTTTTCTAAAATGGCTGTAATAATTCACATGCCCACCAAACAATATATAAGCCAAGTTCAGAGAACACACTGGCATGGTTTTTTTTGTTTTTGTTTTGTTTTGTTTTGTTTTTTTGATGGAGTCTTGCTGTGTTGCCCAGGCTAGAGTGCAGTGGTGCAATCTCTGCTCACTGCAAACTCCACCTCCCGGGTTCAAGCAGTTCTCCTTCCTCAGCCTCCCTAGTAGCTGGGACTACAGGCGTGCACCTCCAGGTCTGGCTAATTTCTGTGTTTTTAGTACAGACAGGATTTCGCCATGTTGGCCAGGCTGGTCTTGAACTCCTGACCTCAAGTGATCCATCCGCCTTGGCCCCCCAAATGGTCTTTGAACTTCTGTGACCTCATTGTGTTCATTTATAAAATGCATTGATTAGATTAAATATCTTATGTCCTGACTATTTTAAAATGATGTAAATTACTTTATGGGTGTCACTTATTTGTGTAATTGGGTAGCATAAATTTAATTCGTTTAAACATTCAATATTTTTTAGAAAAATTTACTTAAAATTTGTTTAAAGATTAGCTGGGCATGGTGGGCCACACCTGTAGCCCCAGCTACTAGGGAAGCTGAGATAGAAAGATCTTCTGAGCCCAGGAGTTCAAATCCAGCCTTGGCAATATAATGAGACACTGCCTTAAAAAATATATATTAAAAAAAAGATTAACTATGTAAACATTTTAAGATTCATTAAATTTTTAAGCAATAAAGATGGAAGTATCTATTTCCTGAAGCATGGGAAAATTGGACTACACATTGTATCTACATGTGGTGCAGTGATGATTCTCAGAGAGATACTGGAATACAAAAGTAAAATTTCTCTTTTGTTACCATTTTTCTAAACCCAGCATTGAAACCTGTTATTATTATTTTTGTATATTTTTATGAGTTTAAAAATTAACTAGTCAAATTAAATAGTCCTTCTCATTGTCTTATAAGAACTTTCTAATGCAAACCACAAAAGTACATGCTGAGTTTTCAGATACTATGGTAAATCAGTTGTAAACGAACAGCATTTGAGTGCTTGGCGTGGCTGGTCTACACAATGGTACACTGAACAGAATACTGGTGGTGCTAATTTCACTTCATATACATTTTCCTCCAAGTAATACACATAATCATAAATCTGAAAATGTAGTTTGACCACTTTTCAAGGTAAACGAATATATAGATAGGGAAAAAAAATTAAACAAATTGAATGAAGTGATATGGAAATTTAGTAAAGTGAAAATTTGTATTATTTGAGAAGTAAGATCATCTGTTAGACTGGTGACTGAGGTATACAGTTTATCACAATCCATTCTTCCAATTAGAAAGACTTCTGAAATACATGCTCTTTTGGAATTACTGAAAAACAGAAATACTTTACATTCAAAGCAAATGGAATATACTAAAAATTTTTTTAATTGCCTTAAGAGTAAGGAAAAATTTTTAAAAATGGGAGTGATGTTTTTTGATGAGTTGAAGAATGTGTTAATTACCTTGATTGAGATAATTATTTCATAATTACATTGTACATCTTCAATATATACATCTTTTGTTTGTCAATTATACCTCAATAAAGCTTGAAAAATTCATATTGAAACAACCAAAATGCTATGATTCTAGGCTTTGGATGATTTGGAATGAAAAATTAAGAGAACGTGACAAGTTTAGTTAATAATAAACTAAGGTAATGCAAACTTTATTTTTACTTTCATCAAGAGATAAAAATAGCCTGACTATGATATGAAGCATAGTGAGTCAAACACATAAAGTAATTCCTTGTTCTGTGTGCATGTTATAAAAAATAAATATAGTTTTTAAACATTACATATTATTCTATGCAGCACAAATTGTTTATTTTAAATATTAAATGTAGATTGATGGTGAGATAAATGACATCAAATATTTAGATCCTTGGAAATACATGATTATGGCATTTTTAAATGATGCAAATATAGTTCCTTGCAATTAAAAAGTTGAAACATCAAAACCTCGCTAAGGTCCTAAAACAGTACAACATATTCTTGAAGAATAAGAGCTGCTCTGAGTTAGGGTGTGGATGGAAAGGGGTTTTTTTTGGTGGGGAAAGTGGACTACCTTTGAATTCTAGCTGCCTTGTCTTCTATTTCTCTGAACTTTTACTCATATTCTGAGCCCTGTATCTTTAAAGAGCCATTCTGAGGATGAATCAGATAAAGTATTAACATGATTTTTGTCAAAAAATAATTAGCTATCATTATCTAATAAAATATGAATCCATCAAACTATAGGTAATAAATCAGAGAGCTTTAAATACGGTTTTCTTTCCTAGAGACTCATATTTATATTTGTTGTTTATCAAAGTCTACTATTTTAGATACAACATTGTCAGCAATTCTTGAAATAATTTTTAAAGGATGGCGTCATATTTCACAATGAAATTCTATGCCCACTCCTTCCTTTATCGACATTACTCTTGATCTGTTCTACATTCCTTCACTGTCTGCCACTGAATTCAATGTGAACTCAATATGTGAATGAAATAATTTAGTTTGGATGAATATCAAATCAAAGTCATTACAGCTACGTTGAGGTGCCTCATATCTATTTAATTTTTCTTCCTTTAGATTAAAAAGTCCACTAAGATGTATTTTTTAAAGTTGAGATAGAAAGAGAAGGTGAATTTTAAAATTTTTTAACAAAATTGAACCTGTCAAGACTTCAGTGGAATTTTAATCCTTACAGTTTATACATTGAATTTGAGGGCTATGTTTTTGTTACCAAAGGAAAGGAAATATCTCTTATTTCTTTCTTCTTCTTCTTTTTTTTTTTTTTTTTTGAGATGGGGTCTGATTCTGTTATGCAGGCTCTACAGTGCAGTCGATCATGTCTCACTCACAGTCAATCATGTCTCACAATCATGTCTCACTGCAGCCTGGACATCCCCAACTCAGGTGATCTTCCTGCCTCAGCCTCCCCAGTAGCTGGGTTACAGGTCCACACCACCATGTCCACTAATGTTTGTGTTTTTTCTAGAGACTAGGTTTCACTATGTTGCCCAGTCTGGTCTCCTGAGCTCAACTGATCCACCCACTTAGGTCTTCCAAAGTGCTGGGAATAGAGGCATGAGCCACCATGCCTTGCCAACTATTTCTTTATATTCAACTTCCCTTATGAGAACCAAAGGTAAAACAAACAAAGCATTAAATGAAACTCTGAGAAAATTTAAAAGTAATAAAGATTTATTATGCTTGAATTTATATTAGTCACTTACAATTGTTGGCATCACCAGCCTTTACATTGTAATATTTAGTTGAAAAAGAAATATAATAAGTTTTCTATTAAATAGAGATTTATTAATTCCTACTGCCATAACTGCATGTTTTAAAAATTAAATTTCGCATGGATGCTTGCATGTATATGTGCACATATTTTTTTCTTATATACTTTTGTTATGCCTGTATTGCTTTCATTTCCTGGAAAAACCTTTGGTGGAGCATAAAGTCAAAAATTCTTTATATTTGCCTTTTGTTTAATGTCTTCCCACAGTTTTTTAGGCACCTGCTATATTGTCTTCTGTATTTAAACAGTAAGGGAAGTAGACTTATTACAGAGAGAAGTTTGATTTTCTTTTCTGAAGCCACCTGGGAATTGTAGATAAGCAATATAAGTAAAATGGGAGAAAAATGTTTAAGACCACCACCACAACACAAATAATAAAATAAAATAAATCTTTGGTTACATTGTCAAAAAAAATAAAAGAGTACAAGAGAAGTGGAGAACGTGCACTGCCAAACACACATTGAGACCTGCTGTTTTCCCTGTTGGTGTCCACATGGCTTTGATTTTCATCTAATTGCAAGAAAACACAAACATTGGCAAAGGCCTTACTAGATGTTTGGTGACCCCACTGTGTTAAACAGAACTTGAATTTGTGTGCCTAAAGCAAACCTCTGTATGATGTGTGTGTTTGGCTTTTATTCCCAGAAATATAATAGGTCCATCAATCAAAAAAAGGAACATAATCTAGAAAATGGGGAAGAGATTTGACAGTGAGTTGAAAAAATAAGCACATTCTCCTCCTTCATGACCCTTGTTATCAATACCTTTGAAAAGAAAAATCATTCAGTTCATAAGACACAATTCCTAACTGGAATTCAGTATGCTATTTAAAGTGCTAATACTCTTTACAGAAAGGGACACTGAAACTGAAGGTCAAGTTTTCTTTTCATTTTGATGAGTTCTAGGAGACAAAGCATTTTACCATTCTACATTTGGCCATCTCCCTAGCCTTGTCTGATCTCATCCCAAAATTCGGGGAGGAGATTCTGATGATGGTAATACTGTTAACTAGGACAGATTTAGGGCTGTGTTTCCTATTTTGTCTTTGTTTCAGTATTTCAAAGTCAACTTTGAAGATTGTTCCTGAATCATAGTGATTGAACAAAAAGAATGTGATACTTAGAAAATGATAATCGAATCCTTTGACTGTCAGGAGAACTAGATTGAACATTCCTTTAGTAGGTAGTCCCTTTGCTGTTTTTACCAACTAGTGTCAGCCAAAAGTTTGAAGCAAAGACCTGCTCAGAGACAGATACACATAGCATTTACTTTAAAAGAGAATGTAAATGCTCAAATTTCCTTTAAATATAAAATTAAATATAAATTAGTCATCTCATTTCCTTGTATCATACAACTATCTAAATTTAAAAACAAATCAAAAAGGTCATTTTCAGACATGATGTTGATAACCATAACAGCTTCATTCAAATCTTTTGTATGCGACTTAGCATTTATTGCCTCTCCAATCTAGCATTGTCAGCAATTCTGGAACCAACACATCCAAAGCACGTAAATCTTAAATAATTGATTGTCCAGTATCCAGGAAAAAAATTTAAGGAATAAATTTAATTTATTTTATTCCTAAAAAATGCAAGGTATGTTTACACAATGAAAGAAAGTGGCATTTTTAAAATTCTGACAATCTTTGTAACTGGAATTTAAGAAGTTATGTTTCCATATGCAAAATTAAACTAAGATCAGTGAATCAGTGGCATATATAGCATTTACTTTTAAACTAGTAAATTCCAAGTCTCTTATTATTTTATTTATTATTATGTTTAACAACACTTTTACTATGTGAATTATGTGGAAAAAACCCTGCATATATATCTAATAAGCAGCTAGTTTGATACTTTGTTTCTATTATGCCATTTTTGTTAATATCCTCTTTTTTTTTTGCCACATGCAATCAGTTGCCAACTTCTATACATTCTTCAGTAAAATATATCTACTTTTTGGTCCTCTTTATGTTTCACTTAGTAAATGAGAGCACTGGAAAAGAATCAAATATAAATTTGAGTGTTTTTCTTGGATTTTAAGCCTAATGATGTGTAACATTAACAGTAATAGTTGAACAGAAATATTGAGGAGAAAAATGAGTGCAGGTTTGATGAGATTTGACTTGATACATTACTTTAGAAGTTCCAACCCATAGTTTAACACACGCGTGTATTGATGTATCTGCTTTCCATGCATTCGGGAAATGGTTAGTATGTGTTCATCGGTATACTGCTTCTAGAATGGTATGATGTTGGGTGTGCTGAGAAGATTTAAGTGTTCCAGTAAGTCTGGAAGCCAAGCTTCCTCTTACTGTTCGTAACCTTTAAACCCCAAACACACACACACACAATTCTTAAAGATTAACAACTTATATTAACCTGTTAAAATGCTTATTTTTCTGTAAATAAAATTTACATAATTTTATTCATTACTTAAAAAAAAATGCTTTTTTTTTAGATGGAGTCTTACTCTATTGCCCAGGCTAGAGTGCAGTGGTGTGATCTCTGTTCGCTGCAACCTCCACCTTCCAGGTTCAAGCGATTCTCCTGCCTCAGCCTCCCAAGTAGCCTGGATTACAGGTGCCCGCCAACACACCTGGCTAATTTTTTTATTTTTAGTAGAGACTGGATTTCACAATGTTGGCCACGCTGGTTTCAAATTCCTGACCTCAAGTCATCCGCCCACCTTGGCCTCCCAAAGTGCTGGGATTACAGGCATGAGCCACTGCACCCGGCCCCAAAATTTATTTTATCATGGAAGTTTTTGTTTAGTTTTGGTGGGGTTTTCTTGGAGAAAGTGTGAGAGAGAGCACAGCTATTAATAGATACTATACAGAAATGAAAATATTTTTTCTTTAGAAATCACTGGCTTAACGTTATCTACTGACTTAGAGAAGGTTGTTAGAATGAGAGAAGCTTACAAACTTCACAAATAGAAGATGTTTTAGGATAGGAAAGACAATTATGTTTGTTAATAAATGGGGGAAACAGTAAAGATAATAACATTTTAATAAATTATGATGTTGCTAAAAAATATGAGGATGCTTAGAATACATATTAATTTAATTGCTAACATAAAAAATGGATTTATTTACAAAGCTTTTGGAGGTTAGCTGTTCTGGAAGTTGAATAAATAATTGGCAAGGTCAAGGAGAATGAAATTATTTTATAGCAGCCACAAAAGGAAATGCAAAAAAGAGTCAACTAGGAAGCTAGGAATAATGTTTTTTTTAACTGTAAACCAGCTTTGAGGATCCAGCAGTGACTAAAAATCATGAATTTACTGTGGAGCTAATTAATAGTGGCGGATTGGTTCCAAAAAGGATGATGTTGTGACATATGCACAGATGGTGGAATTTCTATATACATCATCTTTGTCAGTGCAACGTTGGTGCAGTTAAGGGCTCAGGTGATTCTGAATATTATAGAAAATATCATTTAAAATGGACAATCAAGAAATTCCATTTCAGTGTGGCTTCTGGGTAGCAGATAAATGGCAATTTCTGTGTTCTTCTAGATATCCATGAAGATACAGAAGAAAAAGAAAACATCTCAGCACTATCAAAACACACTTTAGTAATGATGAATATTTGTTGAATTCTAGCTATGCCAACCAAGTATTGCCATAAATATTGACTCAGTTTCTCTTTTAAAATATTTTATGCCTATCCACATTTTCCCCCATTTTATAGCTGTAGACATTGAGATAAGAAAGCTAAGTAAAACACTCAAGATTGCACAGTTAATGAGCAACAGAGATGGAATTTGAACCTACTGAATGTAGCTACAGAGTCTGTTCTTTTGAACACCACACTATACTATCTAATATCAAAATCTATAAGAAATTGATAATGATTTCAAATTGGAATAAACTGAGAAAAATACAGTTTTAATAAAAGAAACCCAGGCTATCATTAACTAAACTGCTTATCCCTTTTTTTGTGGAAAGTAGTCTGGGTCATCTCTATCTAATCCTATCCAAGTATAATCCCTGGGTGATGCTCACATGATTGTCAACACACTAACTCCACATGTTGATTAACTTCCACCCAGTTTCCATGTAAGTCCTTGAATCTACCATGGCTCATGTGGGCAGTATCCCCAGGCTGCTGTTTCTTGTCTTCAAGTGGTTATCATAAGGCTGGCCTTTCCTTTCAGCACCACAGACCTCCTCTATGGATGATCTCTATTCTGCTCCCAGCCTCCTCAATCCAACCCTCATTATGATAGTAACTGAGGAGTAAGGAGGCCGAATCTTCTATCAGAAATGGGTTATCCTAGAGATGAACCTTCACTCACAACTAGAAAAAAATACTAATGGCTTTAAAACTGCTTTTCAAAATTCAGGAGCAATGGCTGGCAGATCTAAATGTGGCATCCAGTTTCTAACATACCAGTGAATTCAAAATGAAATTATACATAATCCATATAACAAAAGTAAAGGAGGTGGCAAGGAGCCATGGCATTAAAGAAAAGGGCAAAGAAGTATATCGTTTATAACAGTAAGTGGGAACATTCCATATTAAAAGATTCATTCTGTCATTTAGGGCAAAAATAAATAAATACAACTAAATTCAATGATATACTATGTGAAAGATCAAATGCTTAAAATTTGCTATTGTGAAAAATGCCAATGCAATTTTTATATTATTATTTCTATACAGCCTATTTATTTATTTATTTATTTTTTGACACCGAGTCTCACTTTGTCACCCAGGCTGGAGTGCAGTGGCGATCTCAAGTCACTACAACCTCCGCCTCCCGGGTTCAAGGAATTCTGCCTCAGCCTCCCCTGTACCTAGGATTACAGGTGTGCACCACTATGCCCAGCTAATTTTTGTATTTTTAGTAGAGGTGTGGTTTCACCATGTTGGCCAGGCTGGTCTTGAACTCCTGAACTTAGGTGACATGCCCACCTCTACCTCCGAAAGTGCTGGGATTTCAGGCATGAGCCACCATGCCCGGCCACTATACAGACATTTTAAAGAATAAAGAGATGTAATGGAACAAAGGATTTCTTACATATTGATAAATGATACATAATTCACAATATGAGCATGGTGTAACTTTAATTCTGAAATAAATTGCCGTGGTACAGTGGTCTTTTACAACAAGCTTCCTGCCATCACAGATCTTATAGTTTAGCTTAGGAGACACTGTGATTTGTGCTAATAAAGGCATATAAAGCATGCTGTGGACATATAGAAAGAGTAACATCTAAATTGACCGGGAGGCCGAACTATGACTGAAATAACTTTTATTCAAAATAAGAGGCTTGGTGCAGTGTCTCACATCTGTAATCCCAGGACTTTGGAAGGCCAGGGTGGAGGATCGCTTGAGCCCAGGAGTTTGAGACAAGCCAAGGCAACATATGAAACCTCCTCTCTCCAAAAAAATACAAAAATCAGCCAGACATGGTGGCATGTGCCTTTGGTCCCAGATACTCAGGAAGCTGAGGTGGGTGGATCACATAAGCCCTGGAGTTCGAAGCTGCAGTGAGATGTGGTCACACCACTGCACTCTAGCCTGAGCAACAGAGTGAGACCTTAGGTCAAAAATAAATAAATACGTAAAAATAAAAATATATGAATATGTCATTACTGGTCAAGAGACAGAAAAATGTAACAATGGAGACCATGGATCCAGCCAATATCACACATTCCTAGTGAATACACTGGCTTCCAACTATTAGGTATTTGACTAACTTCAAGAAGTTTTCACATATAGTCTACTATTTCATATTAGAAAACCTTTTGTTGGCTTTATTTATGTCTTCTTATGAAAATTAATTTTATTTGGAAAGCATTCAAACTTATTGAAAAATTGCAGTAGTAAAACGAACTCCCACATAACCTTTGCCCCAAATTCAATTTTGCCCATTGTCCCAGGCAATTACTCCAACTGAATCCAATCCAGGATGGTCACTTGAAATCAGTAGCCATGTCTCTCTCATGTCCTTCAATAAGAGCATTTCCTTAGTCTTTCCTTAACTTCTACAATCTTGACATTTTTTTTAAGATTATAGGGTATTGATTTTGTAGAATGTTCCTCAATGTGGAATTTTCCAGTATTTCTCCAAGGTTGTATCTACTTTATGCATTTTGGGTAGGAAAGTACAAGAGTGATGCTATGTCCTTCTTATTACATCCTATTAGTTAGTATATAGTATTGATGTGTTCCATTTTTGGTGATATTAGGTTATCTTAATCAAGTTATCTTAAGTGACCAAGTAACCTGGTCACTGCCAGGTTTCTCCACTAGAAAGTTACATTTCTTTTTTCCTTTGCAATCAGTAAGTACTTTGAAGAGAGATACTTTGAAACTAAATACATATCCCATTCTTAATCACATTATATCCATTTATTTTATAAACAGTTGATAATTTTGCCTAACTGTGACTATGATGATTTTCAAATTGTTATTTTCACATTCATTTTAATGCATTTATTAGTTGGCATTCTAAGTAAAAGAACACCTATTTTATTTAGAGTATTATAATAATTACTATTATCATCTCAGATTTGATCAGTGGAAGTCCCTTATGCTAGATCCTTAGTCATTTTGACATGTGATATGGTTTGGATATGTGTCCCACCCAAATCTCATGTTGAAATGTAATCCCCAATGATGATGGTGATGTTTGGTGTGAGGTGATTGTATACTGGGGATGGATTTCTCATGAATGGTTTGGCACCATCCCTTTGTTGTTGTGCTCATGATAGCAAGTTTTTCATAAGATCTGATTGTTTAAAAGTGAGGCGCCTCCTCAACATTCTCATTTTATCCTGTTTTCACCATGTGCTCTGCCTGCCCTTCCTTTGCTCTCCACCATGATTGTAAGTTTCCTGAGACCTCCCCAGAAGCTGAGCAGATATCTCTATGCTTCTTGTACAGCCTGCAGAACCATGAGCCAATTAAACATCTTTTCTTTATAAATTACCCACATCAGATATTTCTTTATAGCAATAAGAAAGGTCTAATACAGAAAATTGGTACCAAGGAATGGAGTGTTGCTTTAAAGATACCTGAAAATGTGAAAGCAGCTTTGGAATTGGATAACAGGCAGAGGTTGAAAGAGGGTAGAGGGTTCAGAAGAAGACAGGGAAGAGAAGGGAAAGTTTGGAACTTCTAAGAGACTCAATAAATTGTTGTAACCCAGATGCTGATAGTGATATGAAGAGTGAAGTCTAGGCTGAGGAGGTCTCAGACAGAAATGAGAAACTTATTGAGAGCTGGAGCAAAGGTCACTTTTGTTATGCTTCAGCAAAAAACTTGGCTGTATTGTACCCCTGCCCTAGGGACCTGTGGAACTTTGAACTTGAGACTGATTATTTAGGATATCTGTTGGAAGAAATTTCTAAGCCACAAAGTACTTAGGATGTCACTTGGCTGCTCCTAACAACCAATACTCATATGCAGGAGGAAATAAATGACTTTAAGTTGAAACTTATATTTATAAAAGAAGCAGAGTATAAAAATTTGAAGAATTTGCAGCCTGACCATTTGGCAGAGAAAGAAAAAGCTTTTAGGGGAGAGGAATTCATGCAGGCTGTGTAGCTACCACTTGCTAGAGCAATTTGCATAACAAAAAGGAAGCCAAATACTAACATCCAAGACAATGGAAAAAAGGCCTCCAAGGCATTTCAGAGACCTGTGCAGCAGCCAGTCTCATCAGAGGTCTTGAAGCCTAGAAGGAAAGAATGCTTTTGTGAGCCAGGCCTAGGACCCGATTGCCCTGCTTACATAATTGTAAGTTTCCTGAGGCCCCCCCTGAAGCAGATGTCTGCGTTCTGCTTCCTGGACAGCCTGTAGAACCATGAGCCAATTAAACCTCTTTTCTTTATAAATTGCCCTGTCTCAGGTATTTCTTTATAGCAATGCAAGAATGGACTAACACAACATCATTCTTTGAGTATTTCATTACTATCTGGCACAACACAATATTTCAGGTTCTTCTCAGTCACACCCCATTTTTTAAGAAGCACTGATTTCTTTCCGTCGAAAGTATGTAGCAACCAAAAGTTCAGTAGTGAATGTGCTCATTATTTTGTGGATTTTGCTATTCACGGGCCCTTTAGGTGGACAGAACTAGGAAGTATTTGTATTCACACACACACCCACACAACTTTACGTCTCTATCTATATCTATCATTACATCTATATCTATATATTAAACCATGATTTCATACCAATACTCCCAATTTTAACCTGCTATCACTCATGCATGCCTAATAATATTTGCAACTGGAAAGAAAAAGAAAGGAGGGAAGGAAAAGATTAAAAGGCCTTTGTTATTGCTGATTTTCAAAAAAGACTTCATCATCATCTTCAAAGACTCATACAACTGTAGACATGAGAGGGATGCCATTTTGTCCAATCTTATCTTACATGTAAAATAATTGATATAGAGGGAAATGAAACTACTTGGCAAAGCAGCACATTTAGGTACATGTAAAGCCATAAATTTGACTTGGAATTCATAAGTGGCCTAATGCTTTACCCACAAAACATTATTTTACATTTAGTTAATAAAAAGGAAATAAAATGACTAAGTCTGAACTATTTAAGTTTCGTATTTATTGAGGGACTGCCATGATCTAGGAACAATTTCATAAATTGAATCTTTCAATCTTTGCAACAAAACATGTAGCAGGAATTAAAAATCCATTTTGTTAATGAGATCAGTGTTCAGAAAGAATAAATGAAATGCTTAAAGTATAATAAGAGCACTAGGCAGGCATAGATCAAATTGTGTTAAATTGATTTTAAACCAGCTGAGCTTGATAGTATATTACTGTATAAAATATTTGTAATAACAAAAGAAGGGCTGGAATGAACCATGTCAAATGGAAATCAAATTAAAATAATCAGTGCTATTTGAAATTAAATTGTTTTAAAATTGTACCATCTTATTTGTTAAATAATCCATTCAAAAATTGGTTTATTAAGTACCTACTATGTGCTGGAAATTGTACTAGAATGAAAGATGTAATTAAATAATGCCATCAAAGACTTAATTAACAACCTATTTGAAGAAAAACATATGCTATATATATATCAATTATAAGGCAATGTTTTTTATGAAACAGACAAAACACTATAGAAGTACAGATTAAGGAGCCAGTGAGTGACTTCAAGAAAAAGAGACATAAGGGTTAAAAGGAATTTTTCCTTTTATGAAATGAGAAGAATTAGAGCTCGTATGTTCAATGAGACTTTGTTCATGTTCATCTTTTTTCAGTGTTATACCCCAGTGCATACAGTGCCTACTAGTTTTGCCTGGTTCAGTATAGGCACTCAATAAATATTTATTGAATAAACGAAAGAATTAAAGAATAGATGTTGGGTAAATATCAAGTAACATATAGCTGGAACTTAGGGCATGGGACAGAGAGTGGAAAAAGACAAGTCTGAGAAGATCAATTGAGGCACATAGTGAGTTATTTCACTACCACTTTACATGAGCAGGACAATATTTTGTAATTTTAAGCAGCAACGTCCGATAAAAATGTAATATGAGCCATGTAAATAATTTTAAATTTCTAGGAGTCATATTTAAATTAATGTATCTATATGCCACACTAAACATTTATATATCATAAAAATAAAATTATTTCAACATGTAATCAAAAATTACAATTATTAATGAAATATTTTACATTCCTTTTTTGCCCTAAGTCTTTGAAATTTGGTATGCATTTTACATTTACAGTAATTCTCAACTTAGACTAGCAACATTTCAAATGTTCAGTAGGCACATGTGGCTAATGGTTATTATATTAAAGAGCACAGGGCTAGGATTCTTGGTACTCAAAATGTGATCCCTAGACCAGCAACCCCTGAGAACTTTCTAGGAATGCAGAATCCTGGCTGCACCCTAGATCAACAAAAATAGATCTGTATTTTCTCAAGTTCTCCAGGTGACTATGTGTACATATCAGAGAAGCACAGGTCCAGGTGACTCAGCTGTAATGTCAGGTGTGTGCATCCCAGGTGGTACACAATATAAATGCTATTCATCTTCAAGAAGATTGGATTAGAACAATAAAGTATATTAATTTTGTCTTAAAAGTACAAAGTGAATTAGAGTTTACAAATATTTGATATTGTATTGACATTGATGCTTTTATTTGGTCCAAATATCAGATTGTCTCATGTCATTAATATCTGGTAGCCTGAGGTAAGACTTAAAGTTCCACAAAAGTGAGAGAGTATATATCATCTCTTATCTATGTCTGGTAAGTGGATGTATGGATGTCATTATTATATTTCCTAGCATTGATTAAACTAACTCTCACAAAATGGAGGCTATAAAATATTTTTGCAAATATGTAAGAAAACAAATGCAGAGCTAACCCTTTCAATCCTTACAGAAAGTCATTCTCAGTCTGAATTATATGTAAAAAATAATAATAGTATGATCAGACTTATTAAGTGGCAGAGTGAAACTTGTAGTAAAATTATCAAAATATCTACTGGAAATGTGGATTAACACCCCTATAGTTCATGGTGGACTTGGCTCCAAGTAAGGATCATACCTACAGATATAATCTAATGATAATATAAAGCCATTATAATTAGTAAAATATTTTTAATATTTTAAATTTAATCTGTGCTAGGCACTTTTATGTCCAGGTTTGCCTAGGGAGTTCCAATTGCTTTCAGTTGTCTCAATATAAGTATTAAAACACCTCCTTTTGCTTTCAAAAGAAGGCCAGCCCTGTTTGGAAAATAAATCTTTTGATCACCCTGCTTATCACATGCACAAAAAACGTATCTTTGGGGTATTTTATAATACATATAATTTATAAGTACAGTAGAGTACATTTACATAATTTTAGAATGAATGAACATGCATTCTAGTAGAGATATATTTATTTATTTTCTGTTATTTTGAAGATCACACAATGAAGACTTGACTTCTGAGAAGCTGGAATGTTTCCCAGTTTCACTCTTAGCCCATGCTTAATTGTTCCGGGCAACCCCTTTCAGCCTGGGAATGTGTTCCCTCTCAGACTGATGCAAAGTGACAGTCTAAGCAGGGCTGTGTACTTTTCTCTACTCTCTTTCTTCTCTCTACTCCCTTAATTGTGGGAAGAGGGAGAAATAATTGTTAGGAATTTCAGGGGCCTTTCCTGCACGGTGGATTGTTTACTGACCAAAGGAAAGGCAGAAGAACAGGAGGCAGCAACTTCACCAAGTCAAGTTAGAGTGGCCTGTGAGACCTTAGAGGCCCCTTTGCAAACCACAAAGTGGATCATGCACTTTCGGTTCACCTGGGACAAGTTACATGTATGCTGGAAATAGAAATTTTATGTTTAAGCAGAAACAGCAAAAGATAAATTTTAAATGGTTAAAAATGGGCCAAACTCTAAATAAATGGATTCTTATGTAATTTCTGAAAATATTTTGAAACTCCAAAATTCTATGTCAAGAAAATAAAGCTTATATAGATGTACTTTTCCATTCCATATAAATATAATTTTATTTTTTATTTAAACTGAAAAGAATAAGATTAACAAATTTTGGAGAATGCACTATGAAATTTGAATGACCCATAATGAGACAGACAAATCATTTGAAGAGGGATATACTGAATCAGCAATTAAATAACCCTGTAATATGGAAATAAAAGAAACGTAGGATTGTTTGTTATACATGACTCTAATAGTAAAGAAAAAAATAGAGCAGGACAAAGAGCCTACAAAAATATAGCAAGCATTTGACAAGGAATGTCAGAAGTTTACATTGCATGTATATATATTAAACTACAGAATGTCTAATCACCATGCAATTGCTCCCTCAGCACCCTCAATGCTGCCTACAACAGATGTTAGTATTTTTCATATAACGATGGTTTGGGTGGGACATTTCTCAAAGTTTGTTCCTTGGAACACTAGCTTTTCTAATATGCTTTGGGGAAAATGTGCGACATTCAGGTAAACGTAGGAAAACGTGTGTGCTCTATTACTGTCCTAAGTAAAATTCACTTTATGCATTCATGCGCTAAAATGTCTTAGATTTCCTGGCAGTAGCTAGTCTAGTTGTTTACATTTGTTTATTCCATCATTAATTATGCTTCTTAAACTAAAGAACTTTTAGTTTGAATACAATCTATTAATATTCTAGGAGACTAGTGTCCCACAGAAAACATTATGGAAATTCGGGGCTAGAGGAATGTTGCTGATATATTTCTATTCCTAGCATGTGGTTGGCCTTGAGGTGAATACCTAAGTTTAAAGAATATCAAAGATAGTATAGTACAATTTTTTCAAAATATTTTAGATAAATTTGTATTTTCATTGCTTAGTTATTTGGGCATTCCTCTACATCTGAAAGAGCAGTGTTATTTTCATGCTTACATTAATGTATCAGCAAAAGACCTGCTTTAGTAGGAACCTGACAAATAATATTGAAACATTCCTGAGTATTAAACCTCTGATTTGATAAAGGTTGGCATGCACAAATCTATATTTATTTTAAGCAAGATGCAGATTTTTAAAAGAAGATAGATATATTCTCAAAAGTATAATGTAGGAAATTATCATTGTTGCTATTAGGATGATAAAATATACCATTGTAAATAATTGCGTTTACATTTCAACTCATGATTATTATTTATTTCTTAAGGTGGAAAAAAGCTGAGCTGGAAAAATAGAAAAGTCCCTAAAGATTTGCTTGGCGATGCCTAGGGACCAAATAGTACAGTTTTCCAGATGCTCAGAGATAATGGCGTAACCTGACCTGCCTATACTAATGTTAACTTGGTGGAAGTGTGGGAAAATCTCTTTTTGCACTGGACTTTGTAATCTAGTCTCATTTACAATCAATAAAAGCTTGAAGAATAAAATAGAGCCAATAGAATTGGTGGAATAAAATAGTATTTAAGAAGGTCCTAGATGCTATTACCAATATAATCTTATTTTGTTGCCTAGTTCCTCAGAACTAGGTTCCTTTGGCCATAATCATTTAATATATTTGAATAGAAAAACAAATTTTTTTCTATTACTTCATTGCTATTAATACTCAGTTAAATCTGGTATTAATTATTGATCAGAATGGATATGAATAGTCCATTATGTAACAATAAATAAATAATTATTGGGTTAATAACCTATTAGAGAGGCAAGCATCTGAAGGTTTTATGTCCTTGATTGTCACTGAAACACATTCCAAAGTCTACAAAATCAGCAGCAGGTGCACATGAAATTACCCCAGTTCCCAATATATCTTGCTCTTTTTTCATAGATTCTAAATTTTCTTTGTTTTTCAATCTTTTCCTGCAATTAATTATAATGACCCTATTGATATAATCTATGATATTACTTTTATAAAGCTCATATTTCATTTTAGTTATTTTTTCCATTGATTACATCAAGTATGCAAGCTGTGCCAGGCAAGGCGCTAGACACTCTGAGTATATCTATCAGCAGTACACACATAGTATCTGCTATAAGGAGCTTATAGCATGGTGAGAAAAACAGACGGTGGCAAGTAAACAGACTCAGTGCTTGCATTTAGTAATTGAGAGAAATCCTATGAAGTATAAAGTATTATTTTATATCAAAGACAAAGATTGAACTAGGTGAAGCTTTTTATTAGAATTGTTATATTTACATGGTTGATACTGTGCTTTCTGGAATTTCTGAGGATGACTTTTCTGACTAGATTTCAGTGGAGCATGACCTTTGAAAAGTGCTGACAGATCTGTGCCCACTCCATTGCCTCATCTTGCATCTTTGGTTGCTAAGTTTAAAAAGGGAGTCATGGTTGCAACATAAAAGAGAGTTGGTGGCTTATGTAAGATTGCTTAGGATTGTCTTGTTAGTATTCTCCTCAAGTGTCAGAATTACCTAGACACTTGATACAACGGGTTTATAACAGTTGTCAGAAACCAGATAACATGGCTCTATAAGGCTGATAATTTCATTTTCTCTTTATTTACATTTGTGTTTCTATTAAAGATTTAGTGAATGTGGTTGTCCAGATATTGTAATAGTGACCTGAGGGAGGCTATTCTGAAGTTGAAAACTACAGAGCCACTTTCATTTTGTTGGTCCATTATCTTAGTCTCTTTAAATGTGTGTACTTGTGCCTTTAAAATTAGCACACTTCAAGTTGGGTGTAGTGGAACACACCTGTAGTCCCAGCTACATGGAAAGCTGAGGTGGGAGGATTGCGTGAGCCCAGGAGTTTGAACCTGCAGTGAGCTATGACTGCGCATCTTCACTCTGGCCTGGGTGACAGAGTGAGACTTTGTCTCAAAAAATACGAACATTAAAATGAGTACACATCAGAGGAGGTAGCTATAAATAAATAGAAAAAAGAGAGAGAAAAGAAGAAAACAGATTGTGATTAGAAAGATGATATTGTCCACAATATATAGTCCTTATATATTTCTTACAAAATTTAATTATTCTTAAATTTGTCCCATAATAGCAAATTGATTCCGGATATAAATCAATAATAGAAACAGTAAAACTGAGTACTACTAATCTGAAAAAATGTCAACCTATTCAATAGGTGAACCAGGTAGGATCAGAGGATTAAAAGAAGTAATCTACCTGAAAGTTCCATTTTATAGAAATTGCCCTACTGTTAGAACTTGAGAAGCACAATTGCTGCCTATAAATTGTGCTTCTATTTTTAGAAATGTTGTTAAATTGTTTTAAAATCTAATACTTGCAAGTGCTTTTATTCTTAAAACCAATAACACTTATTCCTAATGTATTCCTGAGATTTACTAAACAAGAAAGCTAAGCAAATAATAAAAGATGCATATATATCTATATATATTCATATATATATGAATAGAATATAGATGCATATATATGAATAGAATATATATGCATATATATGAATAATATATAAATAATTATTTATATATTTATGAATATGAATTATTCATAATTATATATATGAAATAATATATTATTCATATATATGCATATAGAGAGAGAGAGAGAGAAAGAAAGAAAAAGATATTATTGCCAAAGGCTGATAAGCAAAAAAACTAAGAGTCAGAGGTACTTGCTGAGAGTAACTAAGGAGATGGATTTATTTATTCATCTTGTCATTTTCAACTTCATTCACTCCCTTCACTTGTATTCTCTTGCACAGTAGGTAAATAAAGGTCTGAGATGTAGTGTGTTTCACAGATATTCAGCAAACTATACAGATGTGTGTACTTGACACACAGATGTTTCAGTTTTTATTTTCCTTTATTCCAAGCACAAATTTCTCTACCTTATTCCCAAAATTAGGCCCACCCAGGCTGAGAAATAAAGCAAAATGTAGTGCCACTCTGGCTCTCATGGCCTACCAGATTAGCAGGTAAATCATTTGAGAAAATTCCCAAGCTTAATCCTTTGAAAACTGATCTTACCTCAGGGGATACCAAATCATATTCTCCATTTAAATATTCCTGCTTTAAACCACACTTGCTCAACAAGTTTTATAGAGGAGAAAAGCATTTTTTGTTTTGAGAAAATGTGACTTCATTATAAAGAAATTGCTTTCTTTATTTTCATCTTCAGAAGTTAAATTAAGCTTCTTTTAAGTAATTACTTTTTGTTCTAAAATGATTACTTAATGTGTTTATATATTTTATGCAAGTTGGGTAAAAAAATACATATGCCAAAAACACTAAATTAAATATTTTACCTAAAAGTAATCTATGTCGCATAGGTAAATGTTAATGGAATATGAAACAACCAACATTATTTAGAAAATGAAGCTCTAAGTGGAGAGTTGCTTTTGCAAACCTAAATAATAACAATACAGTATAATAATACAGTAATGTTTATTTCCTTAACATTAGACTAACATAGATCATGTTGCAGAAGCAAGATGTTTGACTTGTGAGATAGGTGACCCCAATTTTCATATGTGCTCTGCCATCAATTAGCTGTTTTATCTTATACAATTCCCCTACCCTTTCGTGATTTAAATTTAATTATCCTTAAAATTGGAGAGTTTGACTGCATTATCTCCTAGGTCCCTATAAGCTCTAAAATTTCTGTGATGCTAGAAGGCTAACCTCACGTAATTCCCATCTCCATCAGTTCACATGGCCCAGTTTTTGTCAGGGTTCATAAAGATTACTGACATGGGTAGTGTGTCTAAGAATAAGCTACTTCAAAGCCATGTTTCACATTTTTATAGGTTTTGTTAAAATATATTTAAAGTTTATTTATCAAATAATTAGCATTTTAACTCCGATAAATTAAACCAAATCAGATAAACTATGGAAGGAACAGAGTGCTCCAGTTGTATAGGATGATGAAAATTACTAAACAATACAGTATACATATGAGATATAAACAGAAAAAAAATTCTACTCATAACAAATTCAGGCTATTTATTGATCCACAGTGATGGGAGAAAGGAGAAATAATTTCTGAGAGAGAATGATTAAAAAGAAGAAAGAATGAAGAAAGGAAAGAAGCAAGGAGTAGTAACAGTAATGAAAGCTTTCTTCTAGTTGTACAGTAAAGTCTATTTTGCTAGCAGGAGGAGGAGTCACTGTGAAATTGCTCATTGATCAGGCTCATGTATGAGAAGCAAATTAAAACCATTCATTTTCCTTGAGCTGGAGTTGCAATTCTCAAGAGAAGCGTGGAGACACTGATGGGTCATGATTAGTTGGGAGGTGAATTTCAAGTAATTTGATATTTGTTAAAGGAGCAAAGTTTGCAAATGATTTTCTTTAAAGTAAATCAGAACACATTTAGGTTAAGCCTGTAATAATAACCTCCTTGCTTCCATTCTGACATTCTATCTAGAGAGGAAAGGAAGGATGGTGTAACAGAGGACTGTAAATTGTTCATAACCCTGAGGGTGGGTCCCTCCCTTGCTAGGAACGTCAAGGAAATACTGTGGATTGAAGTTACACGAAGCCAACCCAATTTATCCTAAAGAAAAAGGGAAAATACTAGGAAGGACAGGAACAGGGTTTGCTTTAGGCTCTACTGAAGTAGGCACTCAGATATTTCACAGAGCCTTCCCCTCTCATTTTCACCTGGGCCCAAGTGAACTTTACTCTTCTCTACTGCAGACCATGTGTTTTACCAAGCTGGAGGTGAGAAGGAAAGTGTCACAACTAGCCTCATCCTACCTTGGGACTCCAAAGGGAAAAGCAGAAAAGTCAGAGTTCTCTCTCTCAGAGCACCTGCACACACACACACACACACACACACACACACACACACACACACACATGCTTATGTCTCTCAGGAAAAATCTTTCTTTGCTCAGTTTGGTGCCCCTTCCGTCTTACAGGAAAATCACCATGGCCGTAAGGAAAAGGTACCATATCCATTGTTTAATGACATGCAGCCCCCACCAGAAGCAAATTGGGTGCTATGTCTACTTGATTCAATTAGTCCCTTCAATAGTATTTAGATAATAGGAATAAAGTAATGTAGTTATACAGCTATGAGTTCCATTTTCATAGCTATCCTAATGTAATTCAAATAAACTTTGCATATTTATTTCTATAAGAAAATCAGACAGGTTACAAACAAAAGTAGAAATTAACACACCAAGCTGGCTGTTAATCATAAGAAATACAAGCAAGCATTTATAAATATTTAGAAAAGAATAAAGTTTTGCTGCCTTAAAATTACAACTTGAACTTCATAGCTATATATAAAATATGATGTTGATTTAATTTGGTTAAGTAGTCTATGTGTATGTGTTTGCATATGTGTGTTAAAGAATGGTTGGTGATTTTATTAAATATTTTAGACATGTAAATGACCATGAAATCACTTTTATTTTAGCTATCTTTCAGTCTACTTTTTGCACACACAGCCACAAAATCATCTTGTTAATTGTGACACACGTCTTCATTTTTATCAAAACTTGCAAATAAAACTGTATATATTTTCAAGTATAGGCCTACATGTGCACAGATATTTATAGAAAAAAATTACATTTTTAAAGACCCATGAAATATTGTTTACAAATCATATTTATACTTTGCTGGTATGGTAAGGGACATAGTTTAATACTATTTACTAACAAATTTACTTATTGTCAGGCAAAAGTAATACGTTCTGGGAATTTTTAACATGTTTTAACAGTTCCTCCATTGAGAAGTTGTTAATTGTGCTCGTGTGTACATGCATGTGTAAGAAAGATGGATAAGGGTAAGAGAGTCATGAAAACATATTATTTTGGTAATTCAGGTTGAGTATTCCTTCTCTGAAATGCTTGGGACTAGAAGTGTTTTGGATTTTAGACTTTTTTAAATTTTGGAATATTTGTATTATACTGGTTTAGCATCTCAAATCAAAAAATATGAAATGCTCCAATAAACATTTCCTTTGAGTTCATTTTGTCACTTAAGTTTTGAATTTTGGAGAATTTTGGATTTGGGATTTTTGGATTTGAGATGTTCAACCTGTGTGCTTAGTAACGTGTATGTATTTCAAAGGATGGTATCATATATGTACCCTTGCTAAAATAAGTGAAATTGATTTTATACATTTTAATGCAAAGTATTAAAAAATAAAGCTAGAGAATATAAAACGATTTCCATAAATTTGACTATTATTTCACTTATAATCTCTATTGTGTCTATAATAATGATAAATAATCTGTAACTATAATTTGATAGACACACCAATGATTAGGTAATGCTTATATTATACTTAAGGTTGTAAATATTCTCAATAAGCTCTTGTGCATAATATTCATAACATTCTTGAAACATACTAGCAAGTCCTGTGATGTCCAAACCTCAGCTAATTCATCATTTCTATTTTCTCACTCCCCAGCTAAAGCGATTTCCTTCCATTTATGTGCCAGTTGGCACCTTACGTTTCTTTTCAATTATGTTTTTAATTTTTTTGAGTTATATTTGGCCTTCCATTTCATTGCAGTTTTAAGTAGTACACCTTTCTCTCTGGATGACTCATGAGTCTTTTTTTTATATTTTTGTTAACTCAAAATCTGGCTTCTCCAAATTTGCCCAAGAATAATGATTTTGTATTGGATAGTTAGAGACCCACAAAAAAGCCTGTCAATTTGCAGTCACTCTCTTATAGCCATTCTCACCTATACTCTGTATTGCTAAAATGGCCTCTTGTTTATTCTGCTACTGTGATACAATTAGAAACATTTTTCTTTTTTTTTTTTTTTTTTTTTTTTGAGACCAAATCTCACTCCAGGCTAGAGTGCAGTGGCATGATCTTGACTCACTGCAACCTCCACCTCCTGAGTTCCAGCAATTCTCCTGCCTCAGCTTCCTGAGTAGCTGGGATTACAGGAGTGCACCACTATGCCTGGCTAATTTTTTTGTATTTTTAGTAGAGACAGGGTTTTGCCATGTTGGCCAGGCTGGTCTTGAACTCCTGACCTCAGGTAATCCACTCACCTTGGCCTCCCAAAGTGTTGGGATTACAGATGTGAGCTACCATGCCCAGCTAGAAAAATTGTTTGAAAATGTTACTCTGACCTATCCAAATAGTCCGTGGAATCTCATTTATTACTAAATTATATTCAAATTCTTTAGGATTTAAGAAGTCATTCATGCCATAATCCTAAAAATTTTCTAGCATTGTTTCTCAGTAATTATAACAAGTAGCCAATATATCAGTTACATTTTCTGTGCTTTCACCCATAGTTTGGCGTCATCTAAGCAAAACTGTTTGCTCACAGAAGGCAAAGTGTTCAGAATTGTGGGGGACAGTGGGAGAGGTGGCAGGGATGAGACCTGTTACTAGATTAGTCTACTAGGCTGGGCCTAGGAGTGTAGACAGAACTACTGTGAAAGGAGATTTTCACATTTTCAGGCAGGCATGGTAGACAAATAGGAATGAAATATTTAGTTCCAGTTCATTCAAAATATTGGTTAATGGGGTATTATAGCTCTCAAATATATATATGTCTTAAATATATATATAATACATATAAACATATAAAATATATAATATATAAAATTATATATTTTATATATATATGATATATAATATATTTTATATATAAGATATATTCATCTTGTATAATATATTATATTTAAAATATATAATATGTATCTCATACATATTATATTTAAAGAAAGCAGAACGCAGTTACAGTGGATTCAGGTTAAATACTACTTCAAGATCAGGCATCCAACAGCATTTAAGGAGCAGTTCCAGGGGTTGCTGTGCTCCATTCTGGAATTGGGTGCAGAGATCATGCCACTGCACTCTTTATATTCATGGGGATAAAAAGACAAAAGCTAAATCAAAAGTAATAGCTTAGAAGTTCACAGGCTTTGGAATGAAATGAATATGATTACGTGTAATAATATACTCAGCTTTGCCATTTATTAGTCCTCATTCCTGGGGAGTTCCTTAACTTTCTAAGTTCCACATAACGTTTTGAAAATTCTAAACAAAACTCAAGTGAAGCCTTCATCTTCGAAGTGGGGTACTCTGGGTTGGGAAGTGGGTGCTATTGGTAGTGCTATTGGTAGAGCCTTAGTGTACTAGGGAAATGGATAAGCAGACTGATGACTGGGAGAGAAACTCAAAGTGGAGACCACACAAGAAACCTGGTTCAGAAAATAGGGACACAAGTTTAGACAACTTCAAATCTTATTAGAATCTGGAAACAAGCTAGTCAACATTGAGATGCTATGACCCAGGATTACTTACAGGAGACAGTGTCTTGGTACCTAAAGTTTCACTGCAGAACACAGAAAAGATAGAAGACTGAGTCTGCCCTGGCTCAAGTCAGCTCTAAGCAGTCTAATAAAGACCTTCCAAACCCTCGCCCTACCCACCCAAATTACAAACTGGATTTTGTTTTTCTAGGCATGAATGTGGCTCATTCTCATGATGAATAATGCTCCAGGGCATTGATTTCAGTTTGGTTATGATGAGCATTTCAGATCTGCATACATGAATGCATTTCATCTGAACCACATGGATCCACAATTGGGTTAGAAAGCTAATGAAAATATGTTATCTTAATATATCTGGTATCCCTGAATTTATTGCTGTTACAGCAGCCAGAAAAAAACCGCAGAAGTAATTTTTGTTATAGACTCTTGGCTATTCTGCTGCCATCCTTAGCCAGAAGCCCAATGCATAAATATTCAGGAAAATTAAAAAGAACAAGGAAAAGAATTATCCACATTGTTGTTATAGGCCCCCCAAGTAGTTTGTTTTAGGTTACTATTTATTTTTGTCAAATATTTACATTCTTTCCTAACACATTCTGGAATCATCGGGTTAAATTTTCTAAAGTATTCCATCTATGCAAATAGCTGAGAAAGATTTCTAAACTTGTATTAGAAGGAAGACAGACTTATAAGCATTTAAAATATTCATTATTTGATTAAAATAAAAAAGACAATTCAAAAAAATAAAAATATATATACTATCGTAAACAGTAGTGGAGGGTTAATTATTAATGTCTGTTTGTGGTTGCAGTAGTGATAATGCTGACTGTTTCATAATTTATTTACAACTTACATTTAAAAATAAGTTAGTATATGTTATATTTTACATATAACAGTTTGAAATATGCCAGAATACATTGTGTTGCCGCTATTCAAATCTCAGTTGTAACTCTATAAAGAAAAGTTTTACTAACAGTTATTATAATTTAGGTTGGAGTGCATTATTTCCTTTTAAGACCAAGAGTCACAGCTATGATTATATGATTATCATGTATACCTAACATGTACTCCATCTTTACTAAGCACTGTAACGATATAGAACAGATCTCCATTCAAATACTCCAAAAACTGATACAGGAAGTAACGAGCATGGAACATCATTTTCAGAGATAACTATTAAATGCAACAGGCAGAGGTGTCAGTGAGAAGAAAGAGAGAGGGAATAATAATAGCAAATGCTTATATGGCATTGACTATGTGCCAGACATGTTGCGAATGATTTATGTATATAAACTGAGTTAATCTTTACAACAACACTGTGCATTAGGTACTTTTATTAAACCCATTTCTTAGACACAGAGTTATATACAGTGTAAAATATCTCAATGGGGAAACTAAAAGTAATGCAAAGACAAGCTAAGAAAAAATACCATAGCTCTTGTTGCCAATATTAAAGTTACACACTTTAAAAACAGATTTTTTTGCTCTGAGGCAATGAAGTCTGACCTTGTGTTCTGCACTACCTACACAGTTTTCCAAGTGGGAGTTACTGGGACTTCCAGACCTCAAGTATTCCCACCTACACATGCCGGCTCTTTGTCCGCAAGACTGAATAAGAGCACAAATTCCATCACATATCCACAAAATGCAATGTATTTTAGAATTTGGGGATACATTTAAAAAATTAAGGAAGTGGAAAAATATTTTGCCCAAAAAATAATATTGAGGGAAGATCCTATAAGTAAATGGAAAAGTCCCATTTGGGAAAATATATGAATGTCATAATTTATTTTTAAAATTATGTCACATTTAAGAAGACTTATAAATTTATATGTTATACCCAACATTACAGCTTCTTAAAGCCAAACCTTTCACTTCTTCCAAAAACAAACCACATGTTTTCCTCTTCCATGGGTCATCCATGAAATATCTGTTCTTTTGCTGAGCTTGATCCTGATACTCTGAATAAAGCCTGGCAGAGGCTATACACGTTCTTAGTCTACTCTTCCTGAAATATTCATCTGACATGTAAGACTGATAGACTATGAACAGGAAAATGTTTTTAGGTATTTGCCAAACATTAGACTAGTCTACCCAGAATTGGTTAATAAAAACTAGTTTAAGTTTAAGTGCTTCTACTGATTATATTTCTAAGAAAGCTTTTTTGTCACCCATATATCTATAAGTTTACAGATATAGAAGTAGATATGAATATGGATATAGATTTCCTTAGCTCTTCTTCTCATAGAAAGTAATTTAAGGCAAAAGAGTTTCCATCTCTTTTAAATGTTGAATAAGTTTCACTGAATAAATATATTAGTATGATTGAAAATACATTGGCCAGGCATGGTGGCTTACACCTGTAATCCCAGCCTTTGGGAGGCCAAGACGGTTAGATCACCTGAGGTCAGGAGTTCAAGACCAGCCTGACCAATATTACAAAACCCTGTCTCTAGTAAAAATACAAAAATCAGCTGGGCATGGTGGCAGGCACCTGTAATCCCAGCTACTTGAGAGGCTGATGCAGGAGAATCGCTTGAACCTGGGAGGTGGAGGTTACAATGAGCCAGGCTCGTACCATTGCACTCCATCCTGGGCAAAAAGAGCAAAACTCTGTCTCAAAAACAAAAAACAAAAAACAAAAAACCTTGAAAATAGAGGCAAGTCTAAAAAGTATGCTGGCCACCAGTTAAAAGTATACCTGCTATGGTTTCTCCATTGATATAAAGCAGTAATATGATAAAAAAAAAAAAGTGTCATTAAACTTAGGGATAATCTTCAATGTAAGCATACAAAGTCTTCACAAACAAGGTCACAATATATAATCTTGCTTTTGCACATGCTTTTGCTTCAAAAGGGTCCTGCAGATCTGCTAAAAGAGGATTTCCTCTCTAAGAAAAAAGATAACAATATTCACTTAAAAGAATGACTATAAGTGTTATAAATATTAGTAGTGTCACAAGATCCTTATGGTGTCACTTTTCCAGTTGAAACCTCTGTGACTGGTGGCACCTTTGCCTGGGTTTTGCTCGGGCCCACTGGGCTTGTTCCACCCACTTGGCATTGCAGGCTGTGCTCAGCTTGCACAGCCAGCCTGGATGCCATGCCTGCCAAGGGCGAGCCAGGCGGAGAGCAGCAAGGTGTGCATGAGTGAGTGAGCATTGGATCTGGTCTCTGTGCACAGCCAAGCATGCCAGCTGGTGTGGTAAGGTGGGCAGCTCCAGGCACTGGCACAGGTGCTGGCTCTGTGCAAGGCTGCAGCTGGATCAGATGCACCTCAAACGGCTTCTGCTGTGGGCACCCATGTCTGGATGAGGGGAATGTGGTGGCTCCTGGAAGCATGGAGATGCCAAAAATCACAGAGCCCCAAATAACGTATTACAGCCCTGGCTCAGGGAGCCCCTAGATCTGGATCCTTAAAGGGCCACAGCTTTTTTTTCCTTCTCATCACCCACAATGTGGTCAGCAAGGGGGTTTTTCAGCCTATTTGTATTATAGCTCTTTCAGTCCTGCCATTCAGTGAGTCCTGAGTTCTCATTCAGTGTCCAGGAAGAATGAGGTATGCAGACAGCTGGAGGGTGAGCCAGGTAGAGAGGAGTGTTATTGAGTGACAGGACAGGTCTCCACAGACTCAAAGTGAGTAGCTCCTATCCACAGACAGGCAGTCCTGATGGGTCTCCAGCTCTCATCAGAAAGAATACCCTGAGTGGGTAGCTCCTTTCCACAGCCAGGTCATCCCAATGAGTTGAAGAGACCCAGATTGGGTATCTCCTTCTCACAGTTGGTAATCCCAATGTCTGTGTGAGTTGGGCTGAATCTGGGGGGTTTATGGGCTTCAAAAGGGAGGAAATGCATGTTGATTAGTCCATGGACAGCCATGGGGGGCCCAGACAAAGCACCATAAGTTTTCACTCCTGGCCACAGACTCCACCTGGAATGGACAGTCTGGGCCTCAGGCTTCAGGAAGTCCCTGGCTTGAAGGTGGGATTTCACCAAGGATACGCCCCTTTCTGCCCCTAAGCCTATCTGCCTTCTGCTGCCATCAACATATCATCCATGACGCACAGGCTGTTCATGCTGAGGGTTGCCTGAAGGCCTATGCCAATCCTCCCTCAGTCCCCCCCTTGGCCTCCTTCCCATGCTCATTTGTGCCCAAAGTCCAGAGGGAGCCAAGGCAGCAGGGGCTAGCATGTCAGAGCCACCCCTGAGAGCACTCACATCCAACTGTGTTGCAACAGCACCTGGGGTTGGCTACAACTCTGGTCCAAAATTGGAGTAGGTGCCGGGAGTGGGGAGAGGCCAGACAGTGGGAACAGGCACTTTCGAGCCTTCAGGGGTGAAAGGCTTTCTGGTCCCTGGAGAGTGCAGGGATACTGGGGTCTGGAGCTGTGGCTGGGCATCTGTGACTGAGCTTGGGAGTGTGGGCTCCTGCCCCACCAACTTGGTGGCGGGTGGGGCTCTCGCCTGTTCCTGGCTCCCACTGGACCTATGTAGTAAATAGCTGCACCTCTCCTCCTGCAGCTGGCATCCTTGCAATGGCAGCTCCAGATGGGTTGTCGCTGCCATCAGTAGTATACCTATTATGGTGCCTAGTACACATTATTTATTTGACATAAAGTGACCTAGTATTATGGAGAGAGTAATGTTTTACTTATTTTGTTCTATGAAGCTCTTAAAGATATACCACGCTTAAATGATTCAGTTATTCTCATATTTTATTAATTCCCTCATTTATTCATTTACTTGTTCACTCAGCAAGTATTTATTTACTACCAACTAAATGCTAAGCATCATTCTGTTTGTTGTAGATGCAACAAAGTATATGAGAAAATGTCTTTGAAAACAACTGTAGGCAGTAGGCACCTGACACGAAGCATCAAAAGTTTTGCTGTGTATCGGCATCTACAATGAGCTGTGCTCTAGAACACTCCCTTTCTCCAGAGAACAGCCAGGGGCTTGCCTTCATTTTATGCCATTTTATGCCAATTTCTCTACTTGCTTGCTCTTTTTTTTCCTTTCTTTTCTTTTTTTTTTTTTGTGCGTGTGTTGTTTTTTGTTTTGTTTGTTTGTTTTTTAACTGCACTAATCACTTAGATCTTCACTTGCAGCTTGCTTTAATTTTTCTCCTACCCAAGGTTTTCATTAGTGACATCTATATCTCCTCCTGGGCAACGTTTAATCTTAGCAAGGGAAGATTCCCATTTTTTTCCCAGTACCATAAATATTCTTTTATTTTCTTCTAAAATAAGTACCTAGGATTTATTGCAGGAAAATTACATAATAATTATTTATTTTCATGTTTTCCTTTTTTTCTCAGTTGTATATTCAAGTAACCCTTTCTCCAAACCCCTCCTTCATTTCACCCCCAATTCCCTACACCTCATGGACAAATATATGTATCTTACATAACTTCCACCTGGGAAGTTAATCTTGCATAGCTTTAGGGAACCAATTTCTGTTCTCAGAATGAAGTGGGTGGAGATATGAAAGAGGTAAAAAACATACTCGTCTCTTTGGTCATAATTTATCCTGGAGGTGGCATACTATTCAGAACAAGTATAGAAGAAACAAAACTCTCTTCATAAATTGTGTGTTGCATAGAATTAATTGAAAAATAGTATCCCATAAAACCTATCACCTATAGTGTAAACTAAGTGAAAAGTTGCTGGAAATTATTATTGATTAGTTTAAAATACATGTGGATTTTTTAATGCTCAAATGCTTTATTCTTTGAAAAACTAAATAATATGAAAATATGTAAAATACAGGTATCTCAACATTGAGGTTGTTGAAACATACTGTTCTCTAAACTTAAAAGACCAGCATAAGATATCCTATTTCTTTGCTGGAACTTAAGTTTCTTGGTCATAGAAACCAGTTTTGTGAAACAAGGGAAATATAGCAGATGGCAAGGCCACAGCTCAGAAAAGGAAAAAAAAAAAAAAATCATCCCTTCTGGTTTAGATAATCCCTAGAGTGTTGGTTTTGGAATAAGACAAGTTTCCTATAGCAGTACCTTAAAAAGAAGAATGAGGTTTTGTGGTTGGAATTTATGACTAGAAGTGAGGAATCTTGGGCTATAATTTTGATTGCACCATTTTCTCATTGTCTCATGGAGCAGTAAAGCAGCACTGATTAATAAATAAAAATTGACCAGCTGTTTCTAGGATTCTGTGAAAAGCACACTAAGCAAATATGCATTGTGACCTGAAGCATTTAAAATATTATTCAACTCTCAGATATCAAAAAATGAAACATAGGGGATATTTTTGCTTGTCTGAAAATGTGTGTAAAATCCTGCAAAAACCAAAGTGACTGTCCCCATTTTTTTTCCCACAAGGATGAGAGCATAATATTGAATTGGGTAGAATTATCTTCTCAAAATACAGCATATAAATCTTTCTTTGGATTACTATGTCACATTTTCTCTTTCCCTTGAACTTTTATATGGTGGGAAAGAATTCCCTAAGAGTTCAGTAGAAACATTACAATACTAAACATCCATCCATGAATACCTATTATACATAGGAAGTGAGGTCAAGGTAATAACAGTTACAAACTAAGCAATAGCAGCATCTGACCTTTGGAAATATGAGCTTATATCAGAAGGATTGCTTGAAAGCCACATATCTCCTCTACCCGTTGACCCCCAAAAAGAAACACCCTAAGTCAATGAAATGCTGGATGTGAATCCATATGATGAAGAAAGGGGAACCAGTAATGTGCTGACCCTGTGTGAGGCAGTGTTGCTAGAAGAAAGGGGAGAACGAGTCTTTGAACACGAAGACAATGACCTGAATCTCAGAGCTTTAAATGAGACATTGTTCGGTCTTGTCTTAGATATGTCACATGAGTATTTGCAATAACATTTGACTTGTCACAGAAAAAGTAAGAAACACAAGAAATGAAATACCATTCTGTTTATATGTCTAATATAGAAATAAAATGTTAATCATATTATATGATTTTGGTCCACATGTTTTGTCTCACTAGTTTAAGTTGTTTGTGTCATGATATTCATTTCATCTAAACCATTTTCTTTACATTTTATGAATAAAAACATATACTTTTTGCCACAATTAAGCACTAGAAAAAAAGTAGTGTCTTTATGAAATTTCATTCTGGGTCTTTATTGCTTTTCAGTTTCATTTAAAGAGAGCCAATACACACATAGTTGATGAATCAGATGAGAGAAAATCACAGCAGGCACTGTTTAATTTCTACTGGGAGGCCCTGGCCATCCTCTGTGGGGATTAATGTTTCAGAGCAGGTACACATTCTTGTCCTAAAACAAATGACTTCAGTGTTATAGCTAGTACCCACATGTTTATGCATCTTAATACTTTAAATGTTACCTGATTACAGTGTATGGGATTCTAAATATATACCAAAGAAAATTAAAGGGAATAGATGTGTATATTTAATAATGTATTATGGTCCCGGTTTCCTAATCTCCTGGGGAAAAAAATGTAAGTTTTAAAACAGGTAGCATGGTAAACCAGCTTTACAGTAGATCTGAACTGCAGATGGGTTACTTTTTACAAGTTCAAAGAACTCCAGTGAAGACTAAAATAAAAAAAAAAAATTAAAGTGCCCAGCCTGTTTTTGATGAGAGTTTGACATTTATTACTTCCTTTGGCTTTTCTTTTCTTTAAAAAAAATCTTGTGTGATTTAGGAGGACCAAACCTTTAGCTGCTATAGAGTCAGAAATTAAGTTAGTCAGAAAATAATATTCCCTTGTTACCATTTGATTCATGGAACATTGTGGAGACACTCTCTTTCTCCAAATGATTTTTGGCAGTTCTCTAAATCCCCTTTTCAACCATCGAAGCTGTCTATGTCTGGAATACCTATGCCGTGAGAAAACTCAAAAGAGAAAAAAAAAGAAGAGCAACAATATAATATATTAGTCTTTTGGATTCTGGTTTCTCCAGCATCCATTATTGCTTCACCAGTGAAGAGAAAATTCATCAGATAGTCAAACTGCAAGAAGTAATGCTTGGCCATCACAATCAAGTTTCCACTCAGAGAGAAAAGTCATTATAGGGTTTAGAATACTTTGTATTTATGTCTCATAAACAAGTTTAAAAATAACACCAAAAAAGGATGTTAACCATATGTCGTCTCACAGTTTGTGACTAAAGGGGATAAAGTTACCAGAGTTTCTTCAAGCCCTTTGAACTTGAAAGCCAGTATGCATTTTCCATCCCGTTGTACATTATGATAAACAGTAACCCCTTCATTGCTACCCTGGAGTGTGTTGTAAGCTCCCTTTGTTCAGCAAACTCAGTATATCACATCATTTTTATTACAGTGGTTTACTAGACTACTTTCAGACAGATGCTAAAATTCACTAGGCTTTTGTTTTCCTTATTTGCCTTTTTTTAAAACAGTATTTTTAGATAAAATAATGATTGAAATAATGGCTTTAAAAATGTCCAAAGGATCTCTAAGTCTCAGAGCAGTTGTAATGCACTTCAATAGAGCTTTAAGAATATATTTCCCTTGTTCAAAGATAAATGAGTTAGAGACAAATCATTACTTTTAAATAATGATGTAACTTTAAGTATCATAGGATATATAGTACATCTATAGGTACTACATTCACTTCACAAATTCACATACCACTTATTGACTACTAGGTATGTTAAAGCAACACTTTTCCACCTACTGTAGCATGTCATTTCTTGTGGAAGATAGTCATGTTCATATTCTTCTCTGCATTATGTATGTATTTAAGCAGGTATGGGACTGTAAATGCACACAATCAAACATACAGAGACTTAAGTGCTATTGACACCTTTACATCATCTCTGTCACCTCCGTCAATCACATCGTCTTCAGAAAACTCCAGATGCTAATTATATATTATATTTTATTCTTGTGCTTGGGGAAAGGATTATAAATCTCTAGATATTCAATAAATCTGAATTAAAAAGTGATAGACGCAGGATTGTTTTATCTGCCATCATAATAAAGAGGACATTAACATTTTAAAAGTCTTGCCTGTTTTTTCAGTTGGCAATTGTTTAAAGGATCAGAAAAAAAAAATCAGTGCCGAGTGTTTCTGTTTTTATTTTTGGAAGTGATTTTGGTATGCCTACTAATCTATATGCCATTTTTCTCATTACCAATCAGCTCTCATAATGAGGCTGATAATGAATGTGACCTTAGCATAAAACCATAAGACTTTTGCAATCAATGGAAATATGACAAGAACACAGAGACATCCGCCCCTGAAGTTTTCTAGGTTAGACCAAAGAAAAGGGAGAATGTAGACTCCAGAAATACTCACCAAAGACTATCCATTTGAGTAATTCTTCAGGTTTCAGATTTCAACAGAGTTGCTGTGGGTAACAGATGTGTTCCTGTCCATTTCCAGTTGGAATTCTACAATCTTTGTGAAGGGGTCAAGGTTTGGTTTGAAAGAAGTCTGGCTATGAAAGAGTGTTGCCTTTGGGGGAGATAGTCTGGATGGAAATCCTGGATGAAGACAATCTCAATTATTTATGTTTCAGTTTAGAGAGATATAAAATGGAAGTAGGAGAACAGCAAATTTACAGAATAGCTGTGAAGATAACAGAGATAATATATACGCAGCTATCAAAAGAATGCCTGTATTGTGATCAGTGCTCAATAAAAAATTAACTGATATTTCTGTTTGCTATGGTGTTTTTGATAAATTCAACTTTGAACCAAGGCCTGCCAATGGACAAGGACTCATACATATAGCCAGGTATGTAATGTCCCCGAGTGCTTCACTCCATGATGACAATCTACTTTCTACTTCCAAAGCTTTGGAGCCTCATCTTACTTCTGTCTGCTTTTCACTTGAACCTTTTCCCCAGCAGTCAAAAACTAGAACTTGAAAAGACTCACATTCTTCTTAAATGAAGTACATGCCAAATTTTATTTCATTAAAATTTGAGGAAGTCAATTGCAAATAATACTTCATTAACTTCATATAAATGTCTTTTGGTTCATATGTGTAGGCCATCAAATAGGTCAAGCAGTTTATAAAAGCAGACAAAAATAGACAAAACCAATCCATGATTATAAAAGTCAGAGTATGGATAATGATTAGGTGTACAAAGCAAGGGTTATAGGTAATTCCATATCTTGACTGGGTGGTGATTACACAGAAAGTCCATTTTGTAAATATGTGCCAATTAGCAGTTAAAATATGTGTACTTTATAATCATTATACTGTAGTAAAACTGCTTAAATTTTTAAAGAAGAGGTGTCAAGAACTAAGGATTTTCATGAAATGTACAATATTTAGAATTCCCATTGGAATATTATGCGTCATTGTCCTCTGATTTTAATTCTCAGGGAATTTGCTAAGCCACCGCAGATCAACTCGGGTACAAACACGTATACTTTTAGATCATAGCACTCAGCTCTATCTCTTCATTCTGCTTCCTAGTGAGTTTCACTCACATTCAAATCATTTCCTGTAATTTGCTGAAAACTTTAGCAACCCAACTCAAGTTTTTGTTTTGTTTTGTTTTGTTTTTCCCATGCAAAACCTAACAGCTATCTTAAGGAAATGCAATGTCTTTATTTTTGCTCAGATGACAACCTGCCCTTTCAGTTCCTTGACCTCATCTCCACTTGATTCAACCTAAGTAACCAAATCCCAATAGTCACATCTGGCCCTTGTTGTCATCATGAGAAGTTTAGAATAAAAGACTGAGATGATTAAATCTCTCACAGCCTCCTTCTTTCCAGTTCTCTCTTTCAGATGTTTGAGGACAGCAGTTCAAGATTTTGTCTCATTCACACATTTGATAGCTTGATCTCTCTGTTTTCTCAATTGTCATCATTTTTGTCATTTCCTTTCTATCCTCCTTGTAATTCACTATCATGTTAATATTTTATTTATCTAAGTTAATCAAGCTCTTGCATCTTTCTGCCAAACCCCAATTTGGGATCATTTGTACTAGTCTAGCATCTCCGTGCTTCCACCAGAACTACTGGAGAAAATCACAGAACAATGAAAGTTGGTAATGGTACACATTCATGATGACCAGCAGCAACCAGGTCCTAATGCTGCCCAGAGATTCTTAGTTGTGTCAACTTCCTCTCTGCAATTCTCCACAGAAGTCATTTCCAGGTATCTTTATCTTTCTCTCTTACAGCATTTGCCCTCCTCTATCCCTCCTTCCAAGATATAATTTAACTTCTTACTGCAATGGAGAAAGTATTAACCATCAGATGAGAAGAACCACCCCAACTTTGCACCCCCTGTATTAAATATAAAGCATGTATATTATATGCATATATATGGAATACATACATTATGCATCCATATCTAACATAATGGATACTATATATACGTAAATATATAACATAAAATATATATCCATGTCTTGTACACATTTTATCTCTACAAAACTGACCTCATTAAAGTTGCAAATAGCAAGTAACTGGGCCACTTAATCTAATAGACACATTGTGACCCTTAACACAATTTTTTTTTTTTTGGACTCTCCATCAGGCTAGAGAATCCATATAAGCTGAGGCTAGATCTGTCTTGCTACTCATATATTTCCAAACCCTTCAAGGTAGATGCCCAGGAAATGCTTACTGTGTGATTTAATTAATGTTATAAAAAAGTTACATAGCTCTTAACCAGGCCTTTGTAGAAAGCATGATTCTAAGTAACTTCAGGACTGGGCTCCTTGGCTCATGCCCGTAATCTCTGCACTTTGGGAGGCTGAGGCAGGTGGATCACTTGAGATCAGGAGTTTGAGACCAGCCTAGCCAACGTGGTGAAACCCTGTCTCTACTAAAAATACAAAAATTGGCCAATGTGGTGGCACACGCCTGTAGTCCCAGCTACTCGGCAGGCTGAGGCAGGAGAATCACTTGAACCCAGGAGGTGGTAGTTGCAGTGAGCTGATATCTTGCCACTGCACTCCAGCCTGGGCGACAGAGTGAGACTCTGTCTCAAAAAAATAAAATAAAATAAAAATAAAGATAAGTAACTTCAGCACAAAAGTATACATCCACAAAGCCTTTAGATCCAAGTTCTCTTAGAAACTTTATTAAAAATTACACTTCGCATTTTAAAATAAATTGATAATTTTATATATACAATTTCTGTAAATAGATGAGAGAGTGAAATAACATGTTTTATATCATCCATATATTTTTATTCTTCACTATATAGCGGAAGCTTTTAATATTCATGTCATCCTGAATGACTGTATAGGTAACAATTTGTTTTCCTGATTTATATATGGGGAAATTTGGTTTTCAATAAATGATAAATGTCTTTCAAGCATTGGGAAAATATCTTAGGTAAGCAGTAATTTTTATGACAGGTTCATAACTGATGAAGGAGACTTCACTTTCAACAATGGCTCTGTTACATGTAGCCCATTTTGCTGTGTGTGCTATAGCAGACTCAATACCACATCTGGAAAAATTCTTTCTTTCTGTGTTATTGCGTGGTTTGCCTTTATATGGAGGTCAGTACCCTTCTATTTGACTACGAATTGTTTTCTCATCTTTCTTCTTTCAGAAGTGACTGTCAATTCTATTTCCACATGACTGACTGTTAAATTATGTGATGCTACACTTCAGCAATACCATAGAATGATGCCCACCAGGTAACAATTAAGTGGTCTGACACTGATCTTACTCCTCCTGAACACTTACCAAAGTCTCTGCAGGGAACAATGACATTCAGGGAAGAGGATTGCTGGGAGGATGTACTTTCTATCCACTCTAGCAGTTACTCAGAAGAGTCCATTGCTGGATTCGGATGAGTATTCAAATTTACATCATTTTGACCTCAGGTAGAATTACTTTTTTGGAATTACAGGACATTTTAAAAGCCATATTATTCTTGTGGTTTTATTTATTATAAGAATAATTCCCCCTCCAAATTCTCTAGTCTCAATAAGTATATGTTCTCCGCAATTGTTTTCTTTTTATTTTGTGAACGCTGAATCACATTAGTGATTATATTAATCCTCATTCTTTAATCAGTAGCTCACATGAGTAGGAAAAGAAGGTCTAGGTTCTCTTGTTCTTGGTTAATCAGAAAAGAGCTTCTAAATTTTGTAAGAATTCTACAGATTCAGTGACCCAGGAAATCCTACCAGTCACTCTCAGGATAAAACAAACGGCTTTTGCTGCTTAGGAGAAGCTCAGTATGTGGTGAGGCTGGATGAGTCACATAATAATAAGTTTTATGTAAAGAGTGCTAGGGCGGTCACTAACTGTGTAGCTTGGTTTCTGTGGGACACCCACTCCATGAATAGCCTTTCAAGATATAAAGGAATATAGTTTTCTTGAGTCAGCCTTCTGGCTCAAAGACAATCTCTCTGTCTTCACTTTAGCATGGATGTCCTCACTTAAGAATAAATGAGAACCTGCTGCTTATGCTGGAGTTAGTTCTTCTGACCATGTGTACTGGCTTCAAGTCCTCCTGTCCACTTGGAAGCACACTCTTGGCTAACAATCATGTAAATCAGCTCTCCTGGCTCCTAACCTCCTGGAATTCCTCAATCGGAAATTCCAGCCCAGCTGCTCTCTTGATCACTTCCAAAACATAGTACCTTGGATCAACAAATGACATTTTTCATTTTAACCAATGCTTCTGAAAACACGATATTGAACCAGAATGTTGATATCATTAAAGTTAGTCAGTCGCATAGAACAAAGAAATTAATGGTGTCATTAAACCATAGATATGTTGAAATTTGACATACCTTTCTTTTGTTACATAAATGGCAAAAATGCAATGGTTATATTTGAACCTATTTATACTTTGAAATTTTAAAGATAAGAGAAACCCTTAGTAAGAGTAAGCTCTGTGAATTTCATCGCTACTGTCTCATCTCCATTTAATAAGAAAAAATTGACTCTTGAGGAGATTATCTGCGTGCTGGACATACGCATACTTTGTCAAATTGAATAGAAAACAAAAGCAAGAAACTGGTATTTAATAATTGACAAGTAAAAGTTGAGGCCTAATAGATTTTTTTAAGCAAATGATGAAATCAGAATAAAATTCCATAACTGTATTTTAAAAATAACCTATTGATAGAGGTAACCACTTGAAGAAACTTTCCATTACATAGAAATAGTGATGTGTCAATTTATATTGAATTATGAAAACAGATTAAAGTTAAATGTAAAGTGCCAAGCTTGTCTTAGCATTAAAAAAAATTACATTGGCTTGTGGCCAAAATATTTGCCTCCCAAATGTCATCCTTAGAACAATTTTTTAAACACACTGTGATTGCCTCTCCCTCCTCTCAACTCCCAGCAGGCTAAAGCAGACCTCACATGGTCCCACACAGATGTAGACAGAGAAACTGCTCATTATCAATCAATGAACACAAACAAGTTGAAGACTGCTCAGCTCCCCCTGCTAAAGGTAAAGAGGTTTAAAGCCCCCAGTGAGTTTATTATTCTGGGACTGAGATCGTCAAAGTCATTTGATTTTGACTTGCACAGTAGCCACAAAGGTTAAATTGAGGTTAAGTTTCCCAAACAAAATGGAAGCAATTAAACAGTTAAATGTTACTTTTTTTTTCTTTTTTTGGTTTGGTTTTAAACCACAGATGAAAAAAAAAAATATTAATGTAACCAAAATGTAAATTTTTATATATCTCTAAGTAATAAAGTGATACATAAGAAATTGTGTTTTATGCCTAATTATATGTTTCTATACATTAATTTTTCAAAAGAAATCACACACCAGTATAGTTTATATATCCCCAGCAAGTAACTGATTATAAGATTTTCTCTTTGCAATATGATGTCTGAAGACTTCAGAAGTCTATAATTTTGGATTAGAGAGGAAAGAAATCAGGCTTGTTGAAATGTGGTAATAATATTTCATACGTTTGAGCAGAGTCAATTAGAAAGAATACCAGTCTCAGAGTAAAAAAAAAAAAACAGGATGCAACTGCTTCCCCTTCCTTAGAGCATTATGCAAGCACAGCCTATTTTATTTTATGTAAATAATTTTCTTATTTTTTACCTCACTTGACTTCTGAAATAATTGTATAAGGCAGAGAGGTACTTGACAATTTTTTTTTTTTTTAGAAAGGAATCTCAGGAAGATGATGTAACTTGCCCAAGATGACATATTTAGTGTTTTAAGAGTTGGAACCAGACTCAAATGCACTGCTAATTCCACATATTACATGACATAAGACCTGGAATCATGGTTCTTTTCAGTATCATATAGTATTTGGTTTTATCTCTTTAAAAACAGGTGGCATTCCTAATGAATACATTTTTAGCACTATAAACAATAGTTGATATATTATTTACTGAAACTTGTGTATATGAAAAATATATCTTAACCCATCACCATGGGGAACAGGAAAGCCAGATGTGTTTATTTTACCTGCATGTATTGGCAAAAAGAAGTTAAATATGTATATATCTATATATATGTAGATGATAGATAGATAGATAGATAGATAGATAGATAGATAGATAGATAGATAGATGATAGACAGAGAGAGAGAGAGAGACTGTGACCAGCACAAATCTCCTCCTTACTAATTTCCTTTCCATCTTGGTCTCAATTGCTATTCTCAAAACAAATTCTATCTACTGGAAGTTAATCTAAAAGTGTTTCAGTGTGGGTAAATACAAGTAGAGGGGCGGGTTTGAAGAATGACCCTTTAGAGATACTTTAGATTCTGGGCAATCTCCAGATACAGTAGCTAAGGCAGGAACATGGCTCACTTGAGGAGCCAGAGGACTGGCAATCCAGCAGAGTTCAGAGAAGCACTTTATTCTTCTGAAACAGGGAAGCGAAAAGTTGAACTGCATGAAATATTGCATATGATTTGCCAAGCCTAGATACACCCATGACTCTCATTCCTCATGAGGTTAGAACTTGTTCATAGACATCTAGTCAAATGTAGCCTTCCATTGACCCAGATCATGCCATGAGGGAAGATGCAGTCTCTGAGGAGCAGTAAGTTTCCTGTTCCTTGAAGCCTCACACTCCCTCATAGTGGGAACGCTGGGCTATTATGTCTTAAGGAACGTTTTTGTAGTCTCTCCTAGGTACAGACCCTCCTAAAACTTACTGCGTAATTTTAAAAAGAGAGAGAGGGAGGGAGGGAGGGAGGATCAGAGAGAGAGAGATCAAAGAGTGGAGTTGTTTTAGGAGATATGCTTAGAGAAAACCTTTTAACACTATAGACAATCACTGACGTGCTGTTTATTGAAACGTGTCTGAAAAAAATATTTTAACTCATAGATAATAGAGCTAAAAAAAAAGCAGTGTTTATCACTAGGCAGAATAGAGACATATTGTAGAGGAACATAAATGTGTATCTGCTGACTCTCACAAAAAGACATGTGAATGCTCAGTTTATGATGAAATTATTTGCTTGACCACATGCCACAGCCTCCAAGCAAAAGGTTTTTTCCCAGTTCCCTTTTGCTGTGAAGTATTTGCATGCCGGGCATATAGCACATGCACAGGAGGGCTGCAGAAAGTACTTGTGCTTAATTTGTCAGAGTGGCATGGTCAAGAATTTGAAGTACCTTAAAAAAATCCATTTTAATAATTTTCCCTCAAATACATTATTAACAGCCACTTTAAAGGACAAGCTAAAAGTTATTTGAAGAGAAAGCGGAGAATTGAGGGAAAATATCAACATGGGGAAACTATCTTTAAATATATATTTTAAGTATTCATTATGTTTGTCATTTACTGGAAAGGAGACCACATATGCCGGTTTTTATATTGAAGCAATAAAGGAAGATAGTATGAATGATTATTTATGTATGCATTTATTTATCGGATGGTGACAAGGGAATGACTTCTTTATACTGCCCAACACAAAGCAGAATTATTCATGTTGAAAATATAAACATAATATATAAACTATAAAAGAGCCTAGGTAGTCAATTCATGCAGATGTAATCCAGAAGGTAAATCATGCTTAAAGGACCTTGAAGAAATAATTTAAACTTATCACATATTTTACCTTCTAAACACTGAGTCATCACTGTCTGTAGTTTTTTAAGTTCTTCTAAGACTCATACTTTCAGGGCAGTAGTACTCTCACACACCCTTCTGGACAACTACCAACAGTTACCAGGTGGTGAGTGTTCACTGGGGTAAGGGGAGTTACTATGGTTTACGCACTCTCCAGTGGATCATTGAGTTTATTAAATGAATTTTAGAAGCAAAAACAGCTATTTATTCTACATCTTGCAGATAATTTCCTTTTCTTCTTCTTCCTTTGTCTGCCTGGCCAGTCAAAATGTTTTGCTGTAAATATTGGGAAGTTATGTTACTCTTTATTGGCTTAACCCTTCTTAACCAAAGGTTTTATTTTCTTTAAAATTTTAATATCATTTTTCCCAATTACATATGTTATCCATACCAACTTTATTATAACTGTTAACTAGAAACAGACAGAGAGGGAGCCTACTTTTTATATTGTCATTTTTTCAATTTTTCTAAAAACTAGAAAATATGATGGACTAGAACCAAATATGACAATATGTTAATCTTGATGTTGAATACATGGATGTGTGCTATACATATTCTGTGAAGTGGAAGTAGTTATGTTTTAAAAATTTGTAAAGCTAATAAAACTTCATTATAAAACCACTGGAGATTAAAAATAAGAAAACTAATTCACCTACATAACTGCCATGCAGAATTAGCTATTACAAAAATCGGATAAGTCTTTCTGTGCTTGCTTTTTAAA
This sequence comes from Homo sapiens, assembly GCF_000001405.40. Taxonomy (NCBI): domain Eukaryota; kingdom Metazoa; phylum Chordata; class Mammalia; order Primates; family Hominidae; genus Homo; species Homo sapiens. Next base: position 84,247,136 of record NC_000007.14, on the reverse strand, counting down.
TGTACCTTCTCATAATTCTTCTTGGTTTGTTTTACTGCCACAAATTTCTATATACTGATATCAAATATCAATCTGATATTTTACTTTTTCCTTAGGCTTTTAGATTTCACCACTAAAAACATTTTTGATGGCATTAATGACACTTAAAAACCATAATTTATAATCATGTCATCCCTTTGTATTACATTATATCATTTTGTAATAATTATAAATATATTCTCATATTGTTAAGCTCTTGCTTTTATTTCAATCATTTTCTACTATAAATAGCTCTGTGAAAAATAACCTTGTATAAATCATTCTGATGACTCCCTTAAGACTAATTTTTAAAAGTTAAATTACAGAGCCAAAAACACACACTTATAGTTCCTTGTACATGTATACATATCAAGCTATTTTCTAGGATGATATAGTTTGTCCTCCCATGAGAAGAGGATGCTAGTATTCAAATTTTATACTCCCATCTATACTGAAAAAAAAAGAGAGTTTGAGAATTTTGACAAATTAGTAGCAATTATTAGTTCATTTGCATTTATATGATTACTTTTCATTTTGGATATATAATATACATGTATATTTTATCTGTTGAATTTCTTATTTCAGAGATTGTGTAACTATATATAACCTCTGTCTTATTTTAATTTGGGGGTGTTAGTCATTTTTTATATATTGAAATTATTAATCCTTTTTAATGTCTTTAGCAAAACCATATGAACAGTTTATATTTCATTTTATTTTTGACATACGTAAGTTTAAGATTTTATGTTGTCAAGTGCATTTTTAAACCACTTTTCCATTGGTTTTATGCTTGGAAAGTCCTTGTTTTAATTTTCTGGCGCAGCTGTAACAAATTACTACAAACTTAATGACTTAAAACAACGAAATTGTATTCCTGGGCAGGATAGCCTAATAGGAACAGTTCCCATCAGCAGCTCCCAGCAAGACCAACACAGAAGGCGGGTGATTTCTGCATTTCCAACTGAGTGTAAACAAAGCCACCAGGAAGTTCAGACTGGGCGGAGCCCACTGCAATGCTGCAAATCCTGCTGTAGCCAGACTGCCTCTCTGGATTCCTCCCACCCCGGGCAGGGCATTTCTGAAAGAAAGGCAGCAGCCCCAGTCAGGGGTTTACAGATAAAACTCCCATCTCCCTGGGACAGAGCACCTGGGGAAAGGGGCGGCTATGGGCACAGCTGTAGCTGACTTAAACATTCCTGCCTGCCTGCTCTGAAGAAAGCAGCAGATCTCCCAGCACAGTGCTTGAGCTCTGCTAAGGGATGGACCACCTCCTCAAGTCGGTCCCTGACCCCCATGCCTCCTGACTGAGAGATACCTCCCAGCAGGGGTCAACAGACACCTCATATGGTAGAACTCCAGCTGGCATCTTGTGGGTGTCCCTCTGGGACAAAGTTTCCAGGGGAAGGAACAAGCAGCAATCTTTGCTGTTCTGCAGCCTCCACTGGTGCTACCCAGGCAAACAGGGTCTGGAGTGGACCTCCAGCAAATTCTAGCAGACCTGCAGCAGAGGGGCCTGACTATTAGAAGAAAAACTAACAAGCAGAAGGTGGGTAATAATGAACTCCTCTGAGCTAAAGAAGCATGTTCTAACCCAATGCAAGGAAGCTAAGAAACTTGAAAAAAGGTTAGAGGAATTGCTAACTAGAATAACCAGTTTAGAGAAGAACATAAATGACCTGATGGAGCCGAAAAACACAGCACGATAACTTCATGAAGCATACACAAGTATCAATAGCCAAATTGATCAAGTAGAAGAAAGGATATCAGAGATTGAAGATCAACTTAATGAAATAAAGTGTGAAGACAAGATTAGAGAAAAAAGAATGAAAAGGAACGAACAAAGCCTCCAAGAAATATGGGATTATGTGAAAAGATCAAAGCTGTATTTGATTGGTGTACCTGAAACTGATGGGGAGAATGGAACCAAGTTGGAAAACACTCTTCAGGATATTTATCCAGGAGAACTTCCCCATCCTAGCAATACAGGCCAACATTCAAATTCAAGAAATACAGCGAGCACCACAAAGATATTCCTCGAGAAGAGCAATCTCAAGACACATAATCGTCAGATTCACCAAGGATGAAATGAAGGAAAAAAATGGTAAGGGAAGCCAGAGAGAAAGGTCGGGTTACCCACGAAGGGAAGCCCATCAGACTAACAGTGGATCTCTCTGCAGAAACCCTAGGATCCAGAAGAAAGTGAGGGCCAATATTCAACATTCTTGAAGCAAAGAATTTTCAACCCAGAATTTCATATCCAACCAAACTAAGCTTCATAAACAAAGGAGAAATACAATCCTTTACAGACTAGCAAATGCTGAAAGAAGAAAATCACCATCAGGCCTGTCTTACAAGAGCTCCTGAAGGAAGCACTAAATATGGAAAGGAAAAACTGGTAACAGCCACTAAAAAAACACAAAATTGTAAAGACTATCAAGGCTATGAAGGAACTGCATCAACTAATGGGCAAAATAACCACCTAGCATAATGATGACAGGATTAAATTCACACGTAACAATATTAACTTTAAATGTAAACGTGCTAAATGCCCCAATTAAAAGACACAGACTGGAAATTGTATAAGGAGTTAAGTCCCATCCGTGTGCTCTATTTAAGACACCCATCTCATGTGCACAGACACACATAGACTCAAAATAAAGGGATGGAGGAATATTTACCAAGCAAATGGAAAGCAAAAACAGCAGGGGTTGCAATCTTAGTCTCTGATAAAACAGACTTTAAACGAACAAAGAACAAAAAAGACAAAGACGGGCATTATATAGTGGTAAAGGGATCATGCAACAAGAAGAGCTAACTATCCTAAATATATATGCACCCAATACAGGAGCACCCAGACTCATAAAGCAAGTTCTTAGAGACCTACAAAGAGACTTAGACTCCTACACAATAATAGTGGGAGACTTTAACACCCTACTGTCAATATTAGATCAATGAGACAGAAAATTAACAAGGATATTCAGGACTTGAACTCAGCTCTGGACCAAGGGGACCTATAGACAGCTACAGGACTCTCCACCCCAAATCAACAGAATATACATTCTTCTCAGCACCACATCACATTTATTCTAAAATTGACTACATTATTGGAAGTAAAACACTCCTCAGCAAATGCAAAAGAACAGAAATCATAACAGTCTCTCAGACCGCAGTGTAAACAAATTAGAACTCAGGATTAAGAAACTCACTCAAAACCACACAACTACATGGAAACTGAACAACCTGCTCCTGAATGGCTACTGGGTAAATAAAGAAATTAAGGCAGAAATAAATAAGTTCTTTGAAACCAATGACAACAAAGACACAAGGTGCCAGAATATCTGGGACACAGCTAAAGCAGTGTTTAGAGGGAAATTTATAGCACTAAATGCCCACAGGAGAATGGAAGCAAGAACACAAATTCAAAAGCTAGCAGAAGACAAGAAATAACTACAATCAGAGCAGAACTGAAGGAGATAGAGACATGAAAACCCCTTCACAAAAAAAATCAATGAATCCAGAAGCTGGTTTTTTGCAAAGATTAACAAAATAGACAGACCACTAGGCAAACTAATAAAGAAGAAGAGAGAGAAGAATCAAATAGACACAATAAAAAATGATAAAGGGGAGATCACCACTGATCCCACAGAAATACAAACTATCATCAGAGAATACTGTAAACACCTCTACGCAAATAAACTAGAAAGTCTAGAAGAAATGGATAAATTCCTGGACAAATACACCCACCCAAGACTAAACCAGGAAGAAGTCGAATCCCTGAATGGACCAATAACAAGTTCTGAAACTCAGGCAGTAATTAATAGCCTACCAACAAAAATTCCCGGGACCAGACAGATTCACAGCCGAATTCTACCAGAGTTACAAAGAGCAGCTGGTACCATTCATTGTGAAACTACTCCAAGCAATAGAAAAAGAGGAACTCCTCCTTAACTCAGTTTATGAGGCCAGCATCATCCTGATACCAAAACCTGGCAGAGACACAACAAAAAAAGAAAATTTCAGGCCAATATCCCTGATGAACATCGATATGAAAATCTTCAATAAAATACTAACCGAATCCAGTAGCACATCAAAAAGCTTATTCACCACATCAAGTCGGCTTCATCCCTGGGATGCAAGCCTGGTTCAACATACACAAATCAATAAACATAATCCAATCAATAAACATAATCCATCACATAAAGAGAACCAATGACAAAAACCACACAATTATCTCAATAGATGCAGAAAAGGCCTTGAATAAAATTCAACACCCCTTCAGGCTAAAAACTCTCAATAAACTAGGTATTGATAGAACATATCTCAAAATAATGAGAGCTATTTATGACAAACCCACAGCCCATATCATTCTGAATGGGCAAAAGCTGGAAGCATTCCCTTTGAATATTGGCTCAAGACAAGGATGCCCTCTCTTACCACTCCTATTCAACATAGTACTGGAAGTTCTGGCCAGGGCAATCAGGCAAGCGAAGGAAACATAGGGTATTCAAGGGGTATTCAAGTAGGAAGAGAGGAAGTCAAATTGTCTCTGTTTGCAGATGACATAATTGTATATTTAGAAAACCCCATTGTCTCAGTCTAAAATCACCTTAAGCAGATAAGCAACTTCAGCAAAGTCTCAGGATACAAAATCAGTGTGCAAAAATCACAAGCATTCCTATACCAATAATAGACGAAGAGTCAAATCATGAGTGAACTCCCATTCACAATTGCTACAAAGATAATTAAATACCTAGGAATATAATTCACAAGGGATGTGAAGGACCTTTTCAAGGAGAATTACAAACCTCTGCTCAAGGAAATAAGAGAGGACACAAACAAATGGAAAAACATTCCATGCTCATAGACAGAAAGAATCAGTATCGTGAAAATGGCCATACTGCCCAAACGAATTTATAGATTCAATACTATCCCCATCAAACTACCATTGACTTTCTTAACAGAATTAGAAAAAAACTACTTTAAGTTTCATCTGAAACCAAAAAAGAGCCTGTATAGCCAAGACAATCCTAAGCAAAAAGAACAAAGCTGGTGGCATCATGCTACCTGACTTGAAACTATACTACAAGGCCACAGTGACCAAAACAGCATGGTGTTGGTACCAAAACAGATATATAGACCAATGGAACAGGACAGAGGCCTCAGAAATAATGCCACAGATCTACAACTGTCTGATCTTTGACAAACCTGACAAAAACAAGTAATGGAGAAAAGACTCTCTATTTAATAAATGCTTTTGGGAAAACTGGCTAGCCCTATGCAGAAAACTGAAAATGAACCCCTACCTTACACCTTATACAAAAATTAACTCAAGATGGATTAAAGACTAAAACGTAAGACCTGAAACCATAAAAACCCTAGAAGAAAACCTAGGCAATACCATTCAGGGCATTGGCATGGGCAAAGACTTCATGACTAAAATACTAAAAGCAATGGCAACAATAGCCAAAATGGACAAATGGGATCTAATTAAACTAAAGAGCTTCTGCACAGCAAACAAACAAACAAAACACAAACAAAAAAACTATCATCAGAGTGAGCAGGCAACCTACAGAATGGGAGAAAATTTTTGCGATCTATCCATCTGACAAAGCCTTAATATCCAGAATCTACAAGGAACTTAAACAAATTTACAAGAAACAAATAAACAACTCCATCAAAAAGTGAGCCAAGGATATGAGCAGACACTTCTCAAAAGAAGACATTTATGCGGTCAATAAACATATGAAAAAAAGCTCATCATCACTGGTCATTAGAGAAATGCAAATCAAAACCGTAATGAGATACTATCTCATGCCGTTAGAATGGTGATTATTAAAAAGTCAGGAAACAACAGATGCTGGAGAAGATGTAGAGAAATAGGAATGCTTTTACACTGTTGGTGGGAGTGTAAATTAGTTCAACCATTTTGGAAGACAGTATGGTGATTCCTCAAGGATGTAGAACCAGAAATACCATTTGACCCAGCAACCCCATTACTGGGTATATACCCAAAGGATTATAAATCATTCTACTATAAAGGCACCAGCACATGTATGTTTATTGCAGCACTGTTCACAATAGCAAAGACTTGGAACCAACCCAAGCACCCTTCAACGATAGACTGGATAAAGAAAATGTGGCACACATACACCATGGAATATTATGCAGCCATAAAAAAGGATGAATTCATGTTCTTTGAAGGGACGTGGATGAAGCTGGAAACCATCATTCTCAGCAAACTAACACAGGAACAGAAAACCAAACACAGCATGTTCTCACTCTTAAGTGGGAGATGAACAATGAGAACACATGGACCCAGGGAGGGGGACATCACACACAGGGGCCTGTCAGGCGGTGGTGGGCTAGAGGGGGCTAGCATTAGGAGAAACACCTAATGTACATGATGGGTTGATGAGTGCAGCAAACCACCATGGCACATGTATACCTATGGAACAAACCTGCCCACTCTGCACATGTTCAGCATTAGTACCACTGGATCCAATCAATGTGTTAGCTGTCCCATGCTTCTTTGCGAGGCTCTAAGGGATAATCTCTTCCTTGCCTCTTCCAATTTCTGAATTTATCTTCCCTCTCTCGTGGCCCTTTCCTCAAGTCAGCAATGTAACATCTTCAAATCTTTCTTTCTACTTCCATCTTCCATGGCCTTGGCCTTCTGGGTATATGCCCAATCCCCCCGCCCTCTCTCTTATAAGGACATTTGTGATGACATTTAGGGACCAAACAGGGATAACAAGAAATTTCTTTATCTCAAGATCGTTAACTTAATCATATCTGCAAAACTTCGCCACTCAAAGTAACATTCACAGTTTCCAGGCATTAAAGATCTTTGAGTGGCCATTATTCAACCTACTAAAATCTTTTTTTAAAAATTATGCATAACAAGTTAAATATTTGCTTATGTATTTTTAAGACTTCTTATAAATCTCTCTCCCATCTTTACTCTCCATTTGAATATACTATAGACTAGTTTTGGTGTTTGTTAGTTTTAAAATATTTACAAGCAGTATTGTTTCTTTTGGGATCCTACAGACCAACCTACCACTTGGGTATAAATTGGTAATTTGAAACACTTAAAAATTTATAGGATACTGTGGCATTATAGTTATATATATTGCTTTTAATTAAAACATTCTTCTAACATTAGTCTGACCAATGAAATAATAGAAAATATTAATCTACCATACTGCATCACAACTTAATATTTATTTGGGACAGGTAAATTTTTTATGACCTCTTTATTTCAAATCAGAATATTCTTTGACTAGACTCACAGTGACAGTAATAAATGTGTATGCATCTATAACATTCACAAAATCAGTTTCATTAAGATGGCCTCCAAAGATGGTAAAAATTAGTATGTGGTTTAGCTTTAAGTCCTAAGTCCTCTAATTTAGTGTATCAGATCATTTTATTCTTAAAAATATGTTAGAAAAATTACAGTTGTTTTTTTACGATCCAATTTCTAAACTATAAAAAGAAATTGCTAACTATAAAATATAATTGGCACTGCATTTTTAGTCAGAAAGATAACCAGATGCTTTAAAAATGAATTCATTATACAAGACTCTCAAAAATTGTTCTGTAATTATTCCCTCAAGTAACAGTTCCAGTATTTCTAAAATATTATTTATTACCCATGTCTTCCATTTCTCTTTCATATTTGGGTGTAAAATGAGTATGCCACTTGGCCACAAAAAGTGGATTACTTACAGAGTATTTAGTGAGTACAATTGCCCATGGGCAAAATATTAAATTTATTTTCAACAAAAGCCTTTGCTTGATTGTTTTAGATAAAACACCTAATGTTTTACAAATCAAAAAATAATTTCCTTATGAGAATTAAACTTTTGAATAAGTAGATAATTAAAAAACTATTAATTTTTTAAATGCTTGGTTTTACCTAAAGCAAATATTCACAGTTGCACAATCATGAAATCTTGCAGACTATTCTGAAATATGTTAATGTATTATTTTTATTTTTAAAAACTTATTTTAATATTAGCATTATGATATAATTATTTTTGGTCTACATTCTTTAAGTTTTTAGGTTTGCTACATGGCTTTAAATCATTGTAGTTTTTGGCCGGGCATGGTGGCTCACGCCTGTCATCCCAGTACTTTGAGAGGCCGAGGCAGGCGGATTGCCTGAGGTCAGGAGTTGGAGACCAGTCTGGCTAACATGGTAAAACCCTGCCTCTACTAAAACTGCAAAAAAATTAGCCAGGTGTGATGGCATGCTCCTGTAGTCCCAGCTACTCGGGAGGCTGAGTCAGGGGAATTGCTTGAACTAGGGAAGTGGAGGTTGTGGTGAGCTGAGATCATGCCACCGTACTCCAGCCTGAGCAACAGAGCGTGACTCCGTATCAAAAAAAAAAAAATTATTGTAGTTTTCATGATATAGTTAAAAGAGAGAGATGCCTACATGTGCACTTTTGCAAACAGTTTTGTATATGGAATGAATTATTTAAAATTGTTTCAGAAAACAGAACTATTGCAGAAAGGTTTTCCATCTCTATATTTACTTGTAAAAATTAAGTTAATATTATGTATGAGTGATTATCAGTAATTTATTCATAAGCTATTATTTCTCCTCACTCCATTCTTTAAACCACAAGTTTGGAGGAAGCCGATTTAAATACATGAATAAAAATTAAGTGGTGTAGACTTCCACTGTGCCTACTGTAGATTATTCACTGTCCTGTACTCAAGTTCAGTTGAAAATTGGTTATTCCACCAGGCACGATGGCTCACACCTGTAATCCCAGCACTTTGGGAGGCTGAGGCAGGCGGATCACCTGAGGTCAGGAGTTCAAGGCCAGCCTGGCCAACTTGGTGAAATCTTGTCTCTACTAAAAATACAAAAATTAGCCTGGTGTGGTGGTGGGCACCTGTAATCCCAGATACTTGGGAGGCTCAGGCAGGAGGATCCCTTGAACCTGGGAGGCAGAGGTTGCTGTGAGCCAAGATCACACTGCACTCCAGTCTGGGTGACAGAGTGAGACTCCATCTAAAGAAAAAAAAAAATTGAATATCCTCTGGGGCACTCTCATCTATTGTTCCCCAAAACACCCATACTCCACCAAATCTGGCTTCCTTAGTACTTCCAATACAGCCTTGCTATTCCTCCATAGAGATGGTGGCCTATGATAGTACTGTCTTCTTTTTATGGTTAAGTTTTCTGTTAGGACTTCAGTCAACAGGAATTCCCACACTAATCTGCATTCTCACAGAATTTTTTAAAGGCATTCCTGAAGTATGTTTCTATTAATTGGTTGCATCTGGGTCTCAGCACAGTATGTTAACTATAGTAAACCATAGTGACTAAAGGCATAAACTACAGAGCAGGATGTATGTTCTGTGATTGAAACTCAGCTCAGATTTCATGAATCACTCATGAAACTCAGTGATTTCATGAATCACCCTTTGCTGGGTGATTCATGTTAAGAAGTTATTTGGTCACATCATGCGTCAGTTCCCTTATCTATATAATAAAGACAATAATAGTATCTATCTTGTCACAGTATAAGAGATGATAATGTAAACCACTTAGAAAAATGGGTGGTATGTTGTAAGCATTTAATATTACTTTTGTCTGTCCCTCCCATACCTCTCATCTCCTTCCTCCTCTCCCTTCTTCTCTTCGTTCTTCTTCTCTTTTATTGATTATGAACTTCTTAAAGACATTTTCCCTAATACTATGTCTTGTATGTTGTATTAACTCAGTGAGTAGTAAGTTTGAGTAAGACAATGAGTGGCTAATTGCTTAATAATGAAATTTACCTGTTGATATAAACTATCTCAAATCTTAATCTTAAATTTGATAAGTTAGACTGTGGTTGCTAAGAAATTGGTGCTCAGAAATTCACTTACCTACATATGTTTGTCTTTTCCTTAACTCTGGGATAAATTAAACACATTTTGTTTTCAGCATCATCAGTTTCTTCCTACACTTAGTTGCTAATTATGATTCAGGTGTTAATTATTTTAAAAATATGTTTTCACTATTAATGTTGGGCATTGCTTTTCCCGATTTATTTATTTGGTCGTTTTAAATTTTAGAATGTAAGTTTAACTTCCTTCCCTTCCTTTCCAACACAGTTAAATTTATTTTAAATAGAATATATATGATATTGCTTTAAGTATATCACTTACTGCCATTTTTTTTCCAGGTAATTAACACAATCTATCCTTTTTAAGACCTCTGCTTTGAGGGTATTCACAATCATGAAGGTGACTCACATATAGAATTAACTGAAATATTTTCTACCTCAGATGTACACTCCATAAATGACAGGGGAAGAGAGATTTGTTCAAGGTATTGGAAGATAACACACTTGAATTGGTTTTGATAGACTGAGGCAAAACGATCAAGAGAGTAGGGCAAAATCAATAATTACCTGTATTCCAAGTGAATTTCAAACTCTTTTTCTATATCAAATTAATATCATAGATGGAAAAGTCTTGCTCTTAGGAGAATGGGATTAGTCATTAGTGACTAATAGAGTATTTGCGAGATAAAGATAAACTATGCATGGAAAAGGAAGTTAAACAGGAAGATTGCAATAACATCTTGGAGGAAGGGCCTGAAATGCCAAACTAATATTTTAGTAATGTTCATTTTCTCTTGCAAAGAGAGGCAATCATATTCAGAATTTTAGCGAATTAATACTGATGACTGTGTAACTGAAGGGAGAGTTAGAAACTTCTGTTAGGAGGTTATATTGGATATCTAGGATAGAAGTGATTAATGTCCAAATTAGTCTAGTATAACTGGGAACATAAAGGAAATAACACCTCATCTGAAACTTTACTTCATTCGCCCACTGACAAATGTGTGATAGACACATAATCAATACAGATGTGGTGACTAGCTAAAAGACAGGAGGAAGAGGAAGTTCAAGAAAACTAAAATTTTTAACCCAAGCAAAGGAGAGTGGCCAGTGGTGCACTTAAAATTGAAGGCATAGGGGAAAGTTTGGAAGAGAAACAAATGAATTCTAATTTGCACCTGTGCAATTTGAGGTGACATCAGGCTGGTTTTGTGCAGTAAACAGTAGCCAATTAGGCATGTGCCTTTGATGTTTTGATAATGATTTGAGAATCATCCAGTGAGGTTGATACTTGAAGTTGTGGGAGGAAAATAGATTAGTTAAAAGTGTGTAGGGTGAAAAGGAATACACCCTAAACATGGGGCCTTAGGAAACATCTGTTCTTAGGGGCCAAGTGAAGGAAAATAAACTGGTGAAAGAGCTTGAGATGCAATGGCATAAAGTATGGTCTAAAGTAGCTATGTTTTCATGAAGACAGTATACTCGACCATGTTAGAGTTCTCTTTGTTGCCCAAGAGTAGAGGGTACTTGGGTTGGATAATAAGCTCATTGATAATTGGTCTTTATGAGAACCACTTTAGTAGAATAGTTGGAGTGAGGAAAGTAGATTCTAGTTTGTTGGGACACAAAATGGAGAAGAGGAATTAAGAATTAAAACAATTATACCCAAACTACTTTTTAAAAAAATTAATAGCGTTTACTGTATCATTTTTCTTATTCCAATAATATTTATTCATGCAGATATTTCAAGTAATATTGAAAATATGGAGAAGAAAATAAAGAAATAAAGAAGAAACAATAATATCAAAAGTAATCAAAATTTCAATACCAGAAATCAATAATTATTGATAATCCAGCTAACATTTTTCCAAACTACAAAATACATACAATTATTCACATACAAGACACTTATAAATGATTGCATATATTAAATATAAAGTCATGTATATAATCATATGCATCATACCAGTTTATCTTTCATTTCACTCAGTAATACAGAAAAATATCTTGTCATTATTAATATAATGTGCAATTAATGAATGCATACTAGTCTACTATACTTACATAGTTTATTTAACAAGTCCATTATGAACAATTGAAAAAATACATATTTGTACACATATCTGATATTTGTCTTTGGATAATTTGCTAATAATGGCCTTCCTGTTTTAAAGAATTTATTTTTAAATCATTTTCGTATATATTACCTAATGCCCCTTCAGAATGTTTCCATGAAGTTGCGCTCTAGACAAGTTGATGTAAAAGTTTCCCCTTATGCCACATGCAGAGTAAAAACGCAGGAAAACAGCATGGGGATATTAACTGATATTAGTTAGAATTCATCTGTAATAGAATTACCTTTGTAATTTGACCTTCTCCAACAATGCTCAGTACTCAGTAATGAAACTACAAAAGATTACCCTAGATTTGAAAATTGAAATGGCACACACACGGCAGGCAGAAGGTCAGAATGAGTAATTAGTAAATCTACAGATATATAAAATAAATAATGAAACTGCCTGCTATTAAATGTAAAAGGAATAAGCCTGCAGTGAGTGTTGGGGCTGGAATGGAGGGGATAAAACTTATAAGAATAGAAAAAGTCAAGAGAAACATATGGGTAAAATAAAAATCGAGGTCTTTGGAGTTGAAGACGCCCAAGCGCAACAAGGGTATGGTTCAAAGACTCCTCAGTTTGAATGTTAAGAACCAGAGCAGGAAGGGTAATCAAAGAATATTGTGATCACAGCAGATTTAGATCAATGAGCAAAAGAGAACCCCATGTAGTAGAGAGATAAAGACAAATCAATGTAAAGAAGGCAGCATAACTGAATATCGTGTGTGTCAAAAGTAGAAAAGTTACTGATAAATGATGCCAGGGCAATGGTCTCAATGTGGCAGTGAGGATTAAGAGAACACTAGCCTCTTCATGAGCATGAGTGTGGAAGGGTTTTAGGGTAAATAGCACCACCAGAGTAAGGTCAGGTTTTGGTTCAGGTGAGAAAGTGGGGACTTTATTCTAGGAAAAGATTAGGTTGTAGGATTTTTAAAGTATTTAAAAGATCCAGAATTTAGCTAGAAGCAATTCCAGTTTAGAAGTAGAGAATGAGAACAAATGATATAATGGCCATCACTAACACCCCCCATCCCCTGTAAAACAATGTATTTACTTTTTATGCAGGTTCCTATTGACATCTTTTATTGTATTATGGTTTTCATTATAATAAACAAATGAACAAATAGGACTAATTGTGGTTCTAAAATACTTTATAAAAATGAGGCTTTTTTTTTTAGTATAGAGCATCGGTTAGATTCACATGGTAGTCAAAATATTGTACATTTATTATTAATTCCATTTATCTCAGGCATTTGAAGAGCCAGTTAATGTTGCATTTCTACCAGGGCTCTACGCTTCACCAAAAGCACTGCTACATCTTTGCATGGCAAAATTTGCCAGACATAGTTTGGCCTCTCAGTAAATACAGTAAAGGTGTTGCTTTCAAAGTATTTTTTCTTTTGATTTAGTCAAACTGAATTGAAAACAGTAGGAAGAATCTACTCAGTTAACAATAAGTGTTCAGGGAATGGGACAGCACTATGGTATTATTGAATATATCATTACATGGTTGAAATCTTTCTCAAGGCTTTTTAAAAATGTTGACTCACTTTTCTATTATCTTTAAATTAAAATTCCTTTATTAATGTAAATTATATTCATTGACAATAAACAATTTTCATTTCTCATTATGTGTAAAAATTGCATAGTTGTGAATTTTCCTGTGAAATTTTATTATACTACACAGAATATCCTGTAGCAGATAGTCTACATTCATTTAATCCTCACAACAACTTTATTAAGTAAATGCTATTTACCTTGCTTCTTTTTAAGGGGAGTATAAAAGAAAACAAAGAACAGTGAGGTTATATAAGTAGCCAAATCACGCAACTATTAAAGAGGGGAATTGGGGGTTTAAAATGTTTATCAGTGTTTCTGCTCTGCTAGAGCATTCAACAGAACATAAATTTTACCCAAGACAATACATATATGCAAGAAAAGCTTTGGTCTTAACCAATGAATGTATTAACTACATAAAAGGGGCAAAAATAAATTAAAATGAAGAAAATATTGCATGATTGAGAAGTTACAAGTTAATTCATTAGTCAGGCAATGGGTAATGGAAAGTCTACAAATAGTTGAAATACCTTAAAAAGTAGAATAACTCCAAAGACCAATTCCACCTTAAAGACTTGTCATTCTCCTAGGGGTAAAGCAATGTTCTTTATTAAATTAATCCTTCACTGCTCAATACATCCTAAGAAGGGACTTGTTGACATCAAACACTATGTAAGCTATCCACTAGGGGAAGAGCTGACACTTGGCTCAGACTCATGGGAAGAATCTTTGAGGTGATGCTGAGAAGGGAAAGCACCTAGAAGAGCAAAGATGACAAAATGTTTGTGAAATAGCAATCTGTGTTTGTGTAAAGCATTCTTTTGGATTTGAAGAGAACTTGGAGGCATTTCAAGAAAATGAATGAAAATAGAAACACCAAGTTAGTTTTGTAAGAAAATTAGAAGGAAAACGTCTTAAACTTGTCTCAGACAAGTTATGTGATATTGAATACAGTGTTTTCTTATATGCTGTGGTTAAAATGAAGAAAAGAATATGTGAAAAGAAATATAATTAAAACCAAAAGGATAGTATGGCTCTTATTTACAAAGGGATAGTTATATTCTTCAGTTGTTGGGTACAAGCTTGTTAGTTTTGTTGTTTAAATCTTTTGTATCTTTACTGATGTGTGTGTGTGTGTGACAGAGAGAGAGGGAGAGAGAGAGAGAGAGAGATTAAACAATCTATCACAGACATATATTAAAATCTGTTATTCTAGTCATGAGCCTGTCAATTTCTGTTTGGAAAACTGGACATTTTTCCTTATATATTTTCAAAATATGACCTTAGTTGCAAGAAAAGTAAATATATATATTTATATAATAAAATATAATATAATAAATATACATATAAATATATATATAATTTGTGGAATTAAATGCTTTGTCATATTTAGTGAACCTCTTTCTCATAAGTGATACCTTATAACTTAAAGAGAATTTTGACAGATATTAATAAGGCTGTACTGGCTTTCTTTGAATTACTATTTAAACATTGATACATCTTGGGTGTGTGTATGTATGTGTGTGTATATATATATATGAACACACACACATGCATACATATACAAACATATATTTACATATACACACACACACACATACACATACCTTTGTTTTTATTAACTCTGTCTGTCTCTCTCTCCTTCTACTCTAAGAACCAAGTTTAAGAACCAAGGCTAAGCATTCCATGTATCCTCTCTGGGGGAGTTATTTTTCTGTTTCCCAAAGTGGAAGAGCTATTTTTCTGGCTTTGAAGTGGCTTCCTACCCAACCTGACATTGGCCTTGGCTTTGTCTGCTGTCTTTTCACACTCAGCTTAGTAAAACACACTCTTGCTTAGTAAAGATCAGCCAAAGGATGTCCTCAGGGTGCTAATTTATTTTACAGGATTAGTTTTTCCATTCCCTTCTGGCCTCAAAAGTTTTCTCAAACTTCCCAAGACTCTTTCTGTCACTGTACCACATCAGCAGCTTTCCCATGGTTATCTGGTGCTCTATTTTAACTGGCTTTTAAGTAGTGTAATAGGTCTCTCCTTAAAAATTAAATGAGGAACATACAGTCTCATTTTATTTTAGTTGTAGAATGCTGTTACCACCTTGTTTATACTTTCCACTCCCAGAAAAATTATGTTCAAAGAACTTCTTTTCCTTCTGATCTTCCACTGGATGGTGACTCACAATCTCTCTCCATCTAACCTCATGGATTCTTATTCCTGGCCTACATGCTAGACAACTATGAGACTGTCATGTACTCCTTCTCCCTCCTACACTTATTCCCTGTGGGCAGACACATATTTATTGACTGCTTACTATGATCCAGTCACTGTGCTAGGAACTGAGGAATTAAAGTAACAGGCACACACTCTACAGTCAGAAGGCCACAGGATAACTTTAAACCCATGTGTAAATGAAACATTTCAGTATAGTGAGATATGTGCAGACAAATATATGAAGATACTCCAAAGTTGGTGTGATTAATTCTGTTTATGAGATTCAGGAATCACCCCAGGGAAGAAGCATCAGATGAGGAAATTTTTTGAAGTATAACAAGGATATTCCAATCAGAAACATAGTAGTATAGCGTTACAGCCCAAATGATTGTGCATACAGACCTTACTGTGATACTCTTAAGATTGGGGGGTAAACTGTAAATGCTGTTGGAATAACTGGGACAGACTGCTAACAGGGAAGTGCTAGAAGATAAAGTTAGAAATAACAACAGGAGCTTGATTATGAAAATATAAAAAACATTTTTAAAAATAATGACAAAGAAAGAGAAGGCATTAAAAACATTGTGTAATAGAGTAATATAAACAATTTTCATTTAAATTAGATAACTGTGTAATCAAGATTACAAGCTTGAGGACATTATTGCAAAACTGTAATCAAGAGAAGTTGAGACATCAAACCAAGCCGATGACAACAAACATAAGAGCCGAACCAGACACAAGACATGGTTAGACAGTAGAATCAAATGAGATATGGTGATTAGGTTAACAACAAAATAAAACCTAGGAGACGCATGAGCTAACATAACTGAAAGGACATTACTGACTTGGGATTTCAAAGTTATGTGCATAGGAGAAAGTACCAATAAAAGAGGAGTGCTTTCTTTAGCATAATATTAAATTGAACTTGTCCCTGTTAAAGTTGAGTTCAACTGAGGCTGTTTATGTGGACCTCACTCCAAAGTAGTTAGAAATATCCGTTTTGAAGTTTGAAAGAGAGTTATAGGCAACAGACATTGATTTAAAAAATATCAGAATATACGCCATAGTTGAAGTCATGATAATGAGGTAAAATATAATTTTTAAAAGTTGTTAGACTGAAAAGAAAAAAGAGCAGGGATAAAACCTCGATAAAAAGTGAGTATAGGAAGAGAGAGAGTGACTCAATTAACAAAGATCATTATGGGGGTTATAGATCTGTGAAGTAAGAGTTGAGTAAAGGCCATATCATAAAAAAGGAAGGAGGTGGCATTTTAGGAATTTCAATTGGTTAAGAATGTCAAATGCCAGAGATTTAAAATAAGATGAAAACTAGATAATTAGAAGATCATTAATGACTTACTTAGGGCATTCTGTTGACTGAAGAGAACTGAGTAGAGTAAAGGGGGGGTAAGATCAGAGCCAGTCCCAGTTAATTTGTCGTCTGAGAAGGTTGGTGGTAAAGGGAAGTAGAGATTGATACAAAGCAAAAGGGGGACATATGAGGACAAGGAAGTTGTTCTTTACTACAATTGTTTTTATTTTTCTTTCCATAAGGTCAGGAAATTGGGCACGCTTGTTGACTCGAAAGAAAAGAACCAAGGAAAGATGAAAGTGGGGAAGTATACCAGAGATAATAGAGAAAGGGATTAATATAACTGTTCTCTGGATAGAGAGTCCAGAAATTAATAGTGTTCCATTATAAAAATCAAAATTAAATTTTATTATTTTGTTTCTACTCTACAGAAAACCTTTCATTATGAACTAACATTGATATAGAAATATAAGACTTGAAGACACTGAAAAACTATAGAGGCCATAAGATTTCATTATGGTAGTCCCCAGAAACTAAGAAATATTTTTAAAAGAATTTGTCTGGAAAAGCAAATTCTGCCAGATGGCATGTTGTGCTTAATCAGCAATCCAAGGTTAAATAATAATCCAAGGTTAAATAGATTGATAATGAAACTCAAAGGAAAAAGTGTATGTTTATCTATGAGATTCTAGTAAATGCTGTGTCACTCACTCTATGTATGAAATAAAATTTACTACTAAGAGGGGGCCTAATGAGTTTAATTTGCAATTTTGAGTTATATTAAACTTTTAAAAATGCTTTTTAATTGTTCATGGTGAATGAATGTCTGAATTATTTGGTTTTATTATCAAGGGAAAATACTACTGCTCAAAAAGAGACTTGGGAAAAACATAACAAAAAAACTTTTTTTTTTGCCAAATTTAGTCCACAATTTTAAAGCAACCTTGTAAAACTATATCCATGTTTAATCAGCCACTTTTAGTGTGAGTGCCTCTGCTGGTAGTTACAAGTGACAAAAAACCAAAAAGGAGATATGAAAGACAATCTCAAATTAGTATAAAAGTAAGAAAAATAAGTCAGAATTCTGGAAGAAAACAGCTGGCACACTAAAAATGGTTAATTTGAGGCAAGTTTAATAAAGGGACAATTTAGAAAGATATTGGTGGGGTTTAGGGAAATTTCAAGGGATAATGAGGTATTACAGGTCTTCAATAGAAGGCACCATGATCAACCATAGGACTTAAAGGAGTGGAAGGGAAGAAGTGTTTACAGAATTTGGAAAAACAGACAGGAAGGTTGCAGTCAGCCCATGAAATCCTGCAGGGAGGAATCCCGGCAAATGAACATGGTACTTAACTTGCTTTCATTCCCTTTCTCATTCACTCTGATCTCCTGCTGTTAATCCCCATTGGCAAACCCCAAATAGAACCCAGAAAACATCAGACTCAATTGATGTTTTTTTTCTTTTCTAAATGTATTCGTTTAAATTGACAGATAAATTTTTATGTATTTACCATATATAACATGATAGTTTGAAGTATATATACATGAATTTTTACCTTTGCTGTTAATCATTTTGTGGACACAGAAGATAAACAAGATAGAGAGAGGTTTTGGATGGGCAAATAGAAAATACTCAGCATATATATAGTCTATTTTTAATGTTTATAATGAGGTAACATTTTATTAAATGAAAATCAGTTTCTTAGTAGCCCCAATCAATGAATGCTAAATAAGTACAGAATATTTGTGTGATGGGGTACGGTATTTGTAGCCTCCTTAAGGTCCCACTAATTTTGATTCAATCTTGGTTAAGATTATTTCTATTTTCTCATTAGTGAAATGTTTCCTTTACTTCATAGTTCCCAATTTGCCCATTGCTTAGTCCTCCATTTATTCCAGGCCCAACCATCTCATCCTAGCTCATTGTACTCTGGCTTCATCACCCATTTTTAGAGTACATCTATGTTGCCACATCTCTGCACCCAGCCAACCCAACCCATATCTTGCCCTCCATATTGATAGAACAGAAGAATTTATGAAAGTATTAAAGGCATATTTCATGTTTTAATCATTTTTTTAATCTCATTATCTGTTTCCTTTTCTTACCATTCCCATACAACTACTACCTGCCCCCGCCCCCCACTCCCTGACACACACACGCACGCACACACACACACACAGAGACTTACATCATTTACATCATCTACCAGCTTTCAGTAGCTAGGGAAAGAGGAGAAAATTACTTGGCAATGAGAATTTCAAACTGGCAAAGAAGGGTTAGTTTCTGTGATAGTCTGGTGGGGGAGTTATTTTGCATAAGCCGGGTATTTCAGTTCCATTCAAATCACATCACACAGGTGGTCCTACATAGTAAAGAAATAATACACCTCCAATCTCACCACACCCCAGGCATCAGGACTAATACCTTGAAGTAGAATGCCTGTAAGGATGCCTACTCATAATTATTGGGAAAACACTCATGGCTGTAGAACTCCTCTTTTAAAGACAAATAATATAATAAGAAAGTGGCTTTGATTTACCAGAGTTCAATTGAATAAATTGAGAAGATGGATAGAATGACTTTTCCAGGCAGCTATTTCATTGAAATGCATTTTGTTTTTTCAACTGTCACACGAGACACACTTATTTAAAGCAAAAAAAAATGTATTTTTAGTTTTGCTGTTGTTTCAAGAAATGAGGTAGCAAATGAATGCTTGCTGGTTTGAAGTTAGGATCACAAATCTTGGCTGCTTTGAGATTGAAAAATATCTTGATAAACTCTTTAATCTGTCTCAAGAAAGACTTCCTACATTAGTCAATTACATTTCTCCTGTGCTGTTGGCTGTTGAATCTTCTTCATATCTATCTATCTATAGATATCTATATAGATATAGATATATAGATACATATATAGATAGATATATAGATATCTATATAGATATAAATAGATATCGCCAATAGAGAAAACTGGTTTTCTGCCAAAACCTGTTTAAACTGTAACCTATGCAGTTCATTTTAAACCACTCATTTATCATTCACAAATTAACCTTGTACAGCATAGCTGCTCTCATTTCTATTGTCTCTCTATCCTACAAAGAAAAATCCTCAAGCGTTAAATAATGAGGGTTGAATCAGTGAGGCATATTTAATGCACAGAGGGTTTTTAATGGCATCTCTATAATTATAGGCAATGATAACTGACTATAAATCTTCATTTCCAAAATGCCACAGCCATTAGGAATAGAATAATATGTCATTTCTACTAGATGTTTTTGAAAACTGTATACCAAAATTATCTTGCTTTTTGAACTTCAGATATTGGTTACTGTGGAGTGAGTGTTGGATATTTATTATAGAACATAGCTATGTGAATAGAAAATACAGAAAGATTGTAAATATTTGGCTCTTTGGCTTTTAATTGGAATATGATATTTTGACTACAATATTGGCTATAAATTTTTGCCCAACTACAATGTGGCACTTTAAAAATCACACTTATTTTAAAGAGTGATAATATATTTTAACCTCTTGGTTACTCTCGTGGGTAACAAACTACATTGAAAAAGTTATAGATATGATTTTTACTGCATGAACACTTATTCTTGTTTGCTATGCCTTATAATTTTATTGTAGACAAATTTTCAAAGTGCTTCAGAATTTCTCCATAACACTTGAAAGTCTGGGTTCTCTAAGCCTCTGTTTTTTTAGTTTTTGTAAAGCTTTATGGGTTCTACTTGTACATTTAAAGACATTTTATTTTAAGACTTTCTTATAGGGGAGTCCATGGCAAAATGTGTGATTTCTGACACCTTTTCTGTTCCCAACAACACCATTCTGAATTTATGTTCCCTGTCCTGAATCTTGTTCTCTAGGGACAGAATGTCTTGTTTAATGGTTAATTTCTGATTCCTCACCCCTGGAATACTGATTATGCTTACATATTTGGAAAAATATAATTTTTCTCTTAGACTTACTTCAAGATGATATACTATCTTTCCAAACGCTCTTACACAATTAAAATCTACCATATATGCAATATGCATATTGAAATTGAATAAGAAGATACATTTTTATATGGCTTTCACTTGTGCTCTCAGGGGAAATTTACCACATAGCCAACTAATAAATAATAATGTTTAAACTTGGCATCCACAACTGTTTAAGTGCTTCTCTGAAATTAGCCCATTAATCTTCATGCAACTGCTTGTAAAGTAGACAGCACGTTATCTTATTCTTTTCACTTTCTTTCCACTTCCTACTATCCCACTCTAGCTGCCTAGAATTCTTTTATACCATTATGTCCACATCCTACACGCACCTTTCTTGCATGCTTCTCCACAAGGTAGAGCACATACTGTGTGAGTGTCTTTGTGTTGCCTCCGTGAGATGACCTAGGAATTTACATTTGGCCCTCGGGGTGATTGATGCAGGCAAACACATTGAATATGTTGCACAAGATTTAAGATATTAAAAACAACTTCTTTAGTTTATAAACAGAGCCTCCTCACTTTTCAAAGAGGGCCAGACACCTCTTCTGCATTCATTCTTTGTTGCTTGTGAAAGAGATATTCCACTAATGGCAGATCAACAAACCTCCAAGACCTACTTCGTTACTTTCGTATGGGTCACGCAAAAGCAATAATCTTGCTTTCTCTAAATAGATAAACTGGTTTGGGGATTTTTAATTTCTTACCACAACTTTGGATGTGTCATCTTTTCCCCATAAGAAACAATTTCTGGCACATCAAGGTCAAGCACAATGTGTGCAATATGATAAAATGTTTAATTATTGAATTACATGCTGTTCATGTTCTACAGAGCAGTGACCACAAACTTAGATCTCTTTATCATGGTTTATCTCTCTTTACACTATGTGCAATACTTTTCTAAAATTGTATTAAATCTGAGAATCATGAGACATAGAATTAGAAGTCACTGATGTGTAACCAATTAGAAAAATAAATTTAACTTTTCTGTGAAGCACAAAAATACTATTTTAAAGTATTTCCTATTAGGCCTACAAGAAACTTATTCTCATTCTATACTTTGTAATTCATTTCTTCCTCAACTTTGCTCCTTCTAATGACATAGAGTTCCATTACATATACTAGGGGGGGCTATAAAGCAGGATCATCTTATTTTCATAGCAGGAGTTGGACCTAATAATATGCAGTATTGATGGCTTGCTATCCCAAGGATCCACAGATTCTAGGGAAAAACCAATGAATCAGTTAACTTCTATGTAGAGTTACCAGCTATGGGAAAAAGGTCTGTCTATAAAAGAACCGTTATTCAACTGGAGAGTGACAAATGAAAAAGCATGAAATCACACCTACTTCCCAGTGGGTGATGTGACAACAAATACTATTTATTTCATTAGTGGCACTCGAAAGGGTGCTCAAGGTGTCTTAAATCTCTCTCTTTCCTCACACTGCCTAGAAAGAAACTAAAATGGAATGGACTTTGTCTTGTTTAATGGATTGTGTATAGTTCATAATGTATATTTTCCTGGGAATGTTTTAGCTCTGGGTCAATACTCATTCATCATGATGTTGTCTGTTTTTTTTAAAACATAAATAGAGCAAAAAATTAAGTGACCTCTTACCCTTTGGTGTGTTTACCAGACAATTTCTTATAAATAATTAAATCCAGAAAATTTGAGTTGTGAAGATCATCTCTAAAATTCCTTTCTGTCACACAGAGAACACAATTAACACTGTAATATTTGAATTTTTCTGTAATTTACAAAGTAAAAAACTTTAATTGTAGGCAAAGCCAATATCTTTTGAGTTAGACCTTCAGATAAAAAATGAAACACCAATAATTGATTTATGAGTGTCATCTCTTACATAGGTCACTTTAATGCTCTCCTCTATCCTTTGGTATAAATTAGTCGCCTTTAAATTAGTATGAAATAGGACATGTAGAATACAGGGCAAATGAATGATTAAATTAAAGATGGGGGAAATGTGTGAGAAAATTATAATTCATTTTGTTTATTCTCAATATCTAATAATGTACAATTTCAATAAATTATCCTATTAACCCCTTTTTAAATATACATTTCTATAGAAGCTTTTTAAAGAAATTCCTTGGCCATGCACTTTTATTTCCATATTGGTCCTTGCTTTTGGCAAGATTTTATTCTTGTAATTATCCTTATGTATGCCTGGACATTTATTTCAATAGAAGTATGTAATATAAGCCGTAAGGTTTTCTCCTGGTGAACTCTGCAACTGGGTTCAGTTAAGATTTCCATTTTATTTCTAAACTATGATATCATCTTATCTTTCCTAAAGTTCATGATATCTGGAATTCTCTACATGTCATGTTAATTTTATTATCTTTATTCCCTATATTGGTTTCATATGTTAAAGCCTTAGTTTTTCAAATACATATAAAGTATTCCTCCTCAGAGCCTGTTTTCTATGGTTTTTAGAATCCCCATTCTAACTGGTTAACTCTTACATACAGAAACACACTGTATATTGAGTTGAATTTTGAAACATAAGTAGCTTAAATTTTTGCTTTTTCTGTATGTAATTATATGCAATCTCATCAAGTAAGTTTGTTATTTTCTAAAACATTAAAGAATCATGATATTAAAAAGAGATTCTATCAGTAAGATTTGAACTTTGTCAGTGGCTTAACCTCTCCATTGATCACAAAGACAATATTACAGATAATGTAATGTGTTGGGCAAATATGTGTGTATATATATGTATATACATGCACACACACACATTTACATGCATACACACATGCAAACATACATACACACCTCTATATGGAGAGAGGTAACAAAGCAGCTTTACTTACTACTCTGATGGTTTTTCTTCTTACCCTATTTCTTCTTCGTGAAACATTAACTAAACTTTGGTGAGACTCTGGCACTTTTCTTATTGTTAGCATTATTTTTATCAAAGATCTTCCCTTGCCTGTCTTTAGTCCTCAAAGTTTTAATGAAGGTGCAAATCTTTTCTTAGTCCACATCTGTTTTGTAAGTTGCCATGCCAAAGGAACCTGCTATACAATATTTGTTGTACCTATATAATGTGTCCAGAAATAATTCTAAGATTTTATATTGAGAAGCATTTTAATTTGTTTAATCTGTTTCTGGTGTAGAAATCATCTGAAGAACTTATTAAGAACAGATAATTATGTTCTACATCTTTGGATCCTGAATGAGCAAGTTTCTATGTATTTGTATTTTGCAAAAGCTTCCCTAGTGATACCAACATAGCAAAATTTGAGAACCGTTGCCCTTGAACAGCTTGGCAACATTATTGGCATTATGTGCTTGAATAATGATTTAATGGGTAAATGAATAAGGCTGACAATATTTACTTAGGATCAATAAACATTTCTGTATTAAAACCAAGTTTATTGCAATTAAAAAATAATTGTTGTTTATATAAAATATATGCATTTTTCTTAGGGAAAATCTACCATATGTTTACAATTAATATTAAGCTTTAGAACAAAAGTAAAACTAATTCTTCATAGGCTGCTTTGTTAGGAAGTGTCATTTCCAAGCAAACAGTTATGCCAATTGCTAAGGAAATATGAAATTTTAAATGTTGTCATTCTTTTTTATCTTATCTGCTTACAATATTACAAATGATGGATTAGCCTGCTTATAGCTATTCCTGCTTGTCCTATACTCCTTATTATTATTTTAATGTGTTTGAGAAAAGTCATGGTAACCTGTCTTGCATCTAGGTATTTATCATTGGTGACTATGCACTTCTGCTTTATTTATAAGTGTAAGAATACCTGAAGATAGGACATGATATTTATAATTTAGAGGTTATATTCAGTGTCACAGATATAAAACTTAAAAATTTAATTCCCTTTATATTTTAATTCAAATATTGTTAGATCATTTTTTCATTTAATAGCATAGGGTGCAAGATGATAATCAATGAAAAAGTTTTTTTCCCTTGGCATATGTCTTGCTATCTTGAGAAGTCTCTCAGAGGTATAAAAATGAATTTTGGAAGCAATGACTAGATTATATTCGTAATACTGTAGAGAACCATATGACAGAGGATTAGGTATTGATATACGGGCGTATCTTGTTTTATTATGCTTCACTTAACTGCACTTCCCAGATATTGTGTTTTTTTTTACAAATTGAAGGTTTTGGCAAAACTGCATAGAGAAAGTCTATAGATGCCGCTTTTTCAACAGCATGTGCTCTCTTCATGTCTGTATCACATTTTGGTAATTCTTGCAATATTTCAAACTTTTAGATTATTATATTTGTTATGGTGATCTGTGATTACTGACCCTTGATGTTACTATTATAATTGTTTTGGGATGCCATAAACTATGCCTATGTAAGACAGAAAACTTAATCAATAAATGCTATGTGTGTTCTCACGGCTCTACTCACTGGCCATTTCCTCATCTCTCACCCTCTCCTAGGGTCTTCCTAATACTTTGTTTTAGAACAATAATTTCAGTATTTAAATTAGGCCAATTGATAATTCTACATTGGCTTCTAAGAGTTCAAATGAAGGGAATAGTTGCACTTCTTTCACTTTATATCAAAAGGTAGAAAATGATTTTGCTTAGTGACAAAGGCAGGTTGAAAGCTGAGATAGGCCCAAAGCTAGGCCTTTTGTACCAAAAATCTAGCCAAGTTATGAATGCAAAGAAGTTCTTGAAGCAAATTCAAAAGTGCTACTCCTGTGAACACACAAATGATAAGAAGGTAAAACAGCTTTATTGCTGATATGGAGCAAATGTTAGTGGTCTGGATGGAAGATCAAACCAGATACATTTTCTTAAGCCAAAGTCTAATCCAAAGCAAGGTCCTAACTCTCCAATTCTGTGAAGGCTGAGAGAGGTGCAGAAGCTACAGAAGAAAAGTTTGAAGCCAGCAGAGTTTGGTTCATGAGGTCTTGAAAAGAAGCCATCTCCATAAAATAAAAGTGCAAGGTGAAGCAGGAAGTGCTGATGCAGAAGTTGCAACAAGTTGTTCAGAAGATGTAGCTAAGTAATTGATGAAGGTGACTACACTAAACAGATTTTCATAGTAGATGAAACAGCTTTCTATTGGAAGAAGATGCCATCCAAGATTTTGATAGCTAGGGAGAAGTCAATACCTGTTTTCAACATTTGAAAGCACAGACCAACTCTCTTGTTAGAAGCTAATATAGCTGGTGATTTCAACTTGAGGGTCATGTTCACTTACCATTCTGAAGATCCTAGGACCCTTAAGAATCATGCTAAATCTACTCTGCCTGTGCACTGCATATGGGACAATGAAGTCTGTGTGACAGCACGTCTGATTAGAGCATGGGTTACCGAATATTTTAAGCTCTTTGTTGAGACCTACTGCTCAGGAAAACAAGATTCCTTTCAGCATATTATTGCTCACTGACAATGCACTTCATTACCCAACAGCTTTGATGGAGATGTGCAAGGAGATTAATGTTGTTTTCATGCCTCATAATATGACATTTATTCTGTAGCTCAGGGATCAAGGAGTAATTTTGAATTTCAAGTCTTATTAGTTAAGAAATACATTTCATAAGGCTATAACTCCCACTGATAGTGACTCCTCTGATGGATCTGGTCAAAGTAAATCCAAAACCTGGAAATGATTAATTCTAGTTGCCATGAAGAACGTTCACAATTCATGGGGTGAGGTCAAAATATCCACATTAACACAAGTTTGGAAGAAGTCGATTCCAATCCTCATGGATGACTTTGAGGATTTTAAGACTTCAGTGGAGGAAATAATTGCAGGGGTGGTGAAATTATCAAGAGAACTGGAATTAAAAATGTAGCCTAAAGATGTAACTGAATTACTGCAATCTCATAATGAAACTTTTACGGATGAGGATTTCCTTCCTACGAAGAAAGAAAGTGGTTTCTTAAAATAGATTCTACTCCTGCTGAAGATGCTGTGAACATTATTGAAATAACAAAATATTTAGAATATTACACAAACTTAGTTGATAATGCATGGGCAGGGTTTGAGACATTTTGAAAGAAATTCCACTGGGCTAAAATGCTCTCAAGCAGCATCACATACTATTGAGAAATTATTCATGAAAGGGAGAGACAATGGATATGGTGAACTTCATTGTTGTCTTAGTTTAAGAAATTGCTACAGCCACCCCAAAATTCAGCAACTGCCACCCTGATCAGTCAGCAGCCGTCAACATTAAGTCAAGACCCTTCACCAGAAAAAGAGCTAGCAGGGGTTGGTTCATGCGGTTTAGAAAAGCAGCCATTTTCATAACATAAAAGTGCAAGTTGAAGCAGCAAGTGCTGTGGAGAAGCTGCAACAAGTCATCCAGAAGATACAGCTAAGATAATTAGTGAAGGTAACTACACTAAACAACAGATTTTAGTTGCTGAAGGCTGAGATGATTCTTAGCAATTTTTAGCAATAAAGTATTTTAAAATTAAGGTGTGGACATTTTTTGTTTAGACATAATGCTTTCAAACTTAATAGACCGCAGTATAGTTGACACATCACTTTTATATGTGCTGGGAAACAAACAAAAATTGTATGACTCACTTTATTGTGATATTCACTTTATTGGGGTGGTCTGGAATCTAACCTGCAATATCTCTGAGTTATGACTATACATGATGAGGCCAGACTTCCTCAGAAAGTTCTATAGCTAGTTCTTTAACTATTTTTGTGTGTACTTAGTTATACCGAAAGCCTTAATAAGATCTCTGTAGATCTACATCCACTTAGATATGTTCTCCCACCTTATATCATACTAAGGAGTAGTTCTGAAGATCTTCTGTCAGACATCTGAAAAGACTTCCAATCCTTTGACAGGCTGCACATATTCATTTTATTTGCAAGTGAGGTGAGAATATAAAATTATTAGATATAAGAATAAATAATTAAGTATCTTTAGTAAAGGTCCTTTTAATTTTTATTGAAGATGATTTTTTTGTCACTGGTTTATTTTATTCTCACTGGTTTATCAGTCTTTTGTTGGTGATGTGGAGCTGTTACTAGAAGTCAGAGGGAAAGGATTATGTAGAGTCAGTCTCCTTGAGAGGAGTAGTGAGTGCTTTGTAGATCCTCCATACCAATATTTTTTGAAATATTTCCTTTGTAAATAAATAAACCTTATTCAAAGTTTCCTATTTTGAGTAGGATTGAGTCGTCAATTTCCTGTTGGGATCCTGCCAAAGACAGTTAGGCATGATTTCAACATAACTGAAGATAGGAAGGCATAGAGTAATATGATGGGGAGGTTAAATATAGAATATTGTATGTCTTCACCACCCAGAGTAGAGTCGTCTCCTCTAAGTTAGGAAAAATTAAAGGGACAAGCTATAGGAAGATAAGGTCATGCTAAATGTGTCATTTATATTACCATACTCAGTTGAAATCCCTACCTATCACCAATGCATTATTTATTTTTAAGAAAAAATGTCATTCATCTCCATTATTTAATGAAGGCCAACTGAATAGCAAAAATTCAAATTGAATATCAAATTGAATTGAGGCCAAAAAATAATGAGCAGATTTGGGGGTTTTGATATTCAGTTTGATGTTTCTAAGCAATTTTGCCTAAATTATTTTTATGTCTTTTATACATAATTTTCTATTAGGAAGCAAGAAAACTAGGGATTATGAAACAATAATCCTTAATCTATCCGAATGCAGAAGATAAGATCATGTAATTCATGGGAAGTCTAAGAATTCTAATTCTCTTTATTTAGCTTTCCAGATTGAAGTACTATATGCAACTTAGTTGTTGGGGCAAAACTCTTTTTATATAATAAAACATCTTAAATTTTTAAATCATTATTAGTATTAAAAAATCCCATCGACAAGGACCAAAGATCTGCAATATGCAGATCAAGGAATCATACCAAAAATATTTCAAATTTTAGGATTTTGAATATAAACAATTTAGAAACAAAATATACCATTTATCTGAAATTCTACTATACAAATGTAACATTTAAGATTTTTTCTCAAGTAAGAATTATATTAAATTATACAAAAAATATCACCAAGACATTTTGAAATAAAGATAAAAGTCAATTAACCTTGTATGAGAGAATTTTTTTTTTTCCTAACCAGAGGCCTTAGCTTCCCAAGTAGCTGGGACTACAGGTGCATACCAACACACTAGCTAATATGTTTTTTAAATTTTTTGTAGAGATGGCGTCTTACTTTGTTACCCACCCAAGCTGATTTTAAACTGCTGGCCTCAAGTGATTTTCCTGCCTCTGCCTCCCAAAGTGCTGGGTTACAGGTATGAGCGATGGTACCCAGCCTGAGCAGCCTGAGGATAATTTTTTTTTTTTTTGAAGAGACAGAGTCTCACTCTGCCACTCAGGCTAGCGTGCCCTGGCAGGATCATAGTTCAATGAAGTCTTGAACTATTGAACTCTTGCCTCAAGAGATCTGAGAAAGATACTTTAAAGTTTTTAAACCTTGAGTTGTTTTACTTCTTTCTTATTTCTGCCCTCCTATTCTTCTGTGATTCCCTCTTCATACCCCATCTTTTCCCTTCATCTTTTCAAAATGTAGCACATTTAAACACCACAGCACATGGTAGATTTAGTAAGCCATATTATAACATAATGTTTAGAATGGAAACAGATTTTTTATATAGGGTCAAGTGTGTTTATTAGCATAAAAATAGACAGGGCTGCAATTTAGAAATAATGACTTTGTTTCCTTTTAACCATAGGAGACAAAGCACCTGTCAATGCATCATCAACATATCTTTGAGGGTTCACTTTTTATTGCTGATTTCTTCTATCCTGGAAATATTTTGATATTTTTACTTTTTTAGAGAGGAGGAAGTTATAAACAGATGAATTAATTAATTTTTGCTTGAAACACTTATGAATGAAATTTAAATTCCCATCTAAGTCTATCAAAGAGAGGCATTCCTTTCTGCGTTAACCATTGGTTTCAGGAGGATATAAAATACACACTGAAAACACATTACAGCTGTGCCAATCTTTTTGCAATTATTTTGAATAGTTGGCTATTTGCTCCATGTGACAGTTTGTGAACATGGTGAATAATTTAACATTCATGCTGCTGCTGTTTTGGCACAATTAACATGAATCGCATATCCGCTGCTATTCAAATTGATTGCAATATGGGGGGAAAGTGAATCAATGTCTTCATATTCAGCTCTTTTGACTCAATTTTTCCAAAATGGCTTGCAAGGCGCAATGCTAAGTAAAGCATAATGAAGACCCCTTTGTGTGATGACCTAAAAGCCTCTGAGGACATTCCTTTTTATTAAATGCTTGAGACCAATTTAGATCTAGTATCTAATTTTAGAATTTTCTTGGAGAGTCTGTCAACTGGACGTCCATGTATTCCAAGCATGTGCAAAATATTTATGGACCTCTGTACAAAGCCAGAGACTCCCATGTCATTATGTGTATCATTGTCCATTTGTCATTCTGCCTAACATGACTCAGAGGCATGACTGTTACACAGTTTCTTTCTTATTTTCAGTGGCATAACTTGAGGTCACTCTTCTGTTGTGCTGTTTTAATCTATCTAAAAAATATCAGTAAAATTCAAGCTGAAGAAAGGATCAGGTTTGAAAAAATGCTTTAAAAAATATTCACCATAGATTCTTAATATCCTAATGCAATGAGCTACTCTTCCAACTGCTCTTATCTATAAGAAAATCTGAGGCCAGGTGACATACCTCACGCCTGTAATCCCAGCACTTTGGGAGGCCAAGGCAGGTGGGTCATGAGGTCAGGAGATTGAGACCATCCTGGCCAACATGGTAAAACCCCGTCTCTACTAAAAATACAAAAATTAGCCGGGTGTGGTGGCGAGCGCCTGTAGTCCCAGCTACTTGGGAGGCTGAGGCAGGAGAATCGCTTGAACCCAGGAGGCAGAGGTGGCAGTGAGCAAAGATGGTGGCAGTGAGCCGAGATGGTGGCAGTGAGCTGAGATCGTGCCACTGCACTCCAACCTGGCTACAGAGCGAGGCTCTGTCAATAAAAAAATTCTGAAGGATAGATTATTTTTTACTACCAGAGGAATCACTTTTCAATAAAAGACAAAAAGATCATCCTTAATAGCTATTTGTTCAATAAATGAATAATAATGTTTAACAGTTCATTTCTCATTTTGAGGTAATTATGTGTGTGTGTGTGTGTATCTATATGTACACATATACATTTTTAACTGACACTACAATCTTGTCTTTGCCCTTTTATAAAAGACTACATATTTTCCACATGACCTAGAAAAATAATATTTGTTTCAGAGTGAATGAAAAATTAGTTCATTAATTTTCCCCAGTTATACTAGGTATTCTATGAATTTATTCATCCAATAACTATTTAGTGATACCTACTATGTCCCAGGCACAATTCCAAATGCTAGGAATATGGAATAAAACAGATGTGGCATAGAGAGTTATTTCTAATAGAGGAGGTTAATAGAATCCACATAAACAAGTAAGGCATATAATATGGCAGATGGCAATAAGGGCTGTGGGTTAAAATAGAGCTAGGGGACAGGAAAAAAGAGTTACTGGTTTAAATTGAGTTGTCAGGGAGAGCACAGTCTTATTCAAAATGAGTAAGATTTGGGTTGGGTGCAGAGGCTCACGCCTATAATCCCAGCACTTTGGGAGGCCAAGGGGGGGGCGGATCATCTAAGGTCAGGAGTTCAAGACCAGCCTGGCCAATATGGTGAAACCCCATCTCTATGAAAAATACAAAAAAATTAGCTGGGTGTGGTAGCAGGTGCCTATAATTCCAGCTACTCAGGAGGCTGAGGCAGGAGAATTGCTTGAACCCAGGAGGGGGAGGTTGCAGTGAGCTAAGATCACGCCATTGCACTCCAGCCTGGGCAACAAGAGTAAAACTCCACGTCCAAAAAATAAATAAATAAATAAATAAAATAAGGGCCAGGCGCGGTGGCTCACACCTGTAATCCCAACACTTTCGGAGTCTGAGGCAGACAAATCGTGAGGTCAGGAGTTCAAAACCAGCCTGGCCAACATGGTGAAACCCTGTCTCTACTAAAAATACAAAAAATTAGCCTGGCGTGGTGTCATGCGCCTGGAATCCCAGCTACTGGGTGTGGTAGCTCACGCCTATAATCCCAGCACTTTGGGAGGCCAAGGGGGGGCGGATCATCTAAGGTCAGGAGTTCAAGACCAGCCTGGCCAATATGGTGAAACCCCATCTCTATGAAAAATACAAAAAAATTAGCTGGGTGTGGTAGCAGGTGCCTATAATTCCAGCTACTCAGGAGGCTGGGGCAGGAGAATTGCTTGAACCCAGGAGGCAGAGGTTGCAGTGAGCCCAAATCACACCACTGCACTCCAGCCTGGGCGACAGTGCAAGACTCTGTCTCAAAAAAAAAAAAAAAAAAAGTAAGCTCTAAGTAGATACAGGAAAGAGCTGTAGCAATTAGAGAGCATGTCAGGGGGAACAGCAGCTTTTGGCCTTTGATTATTTATGTGTAAGAATGCAGAGCTTAGGGCTTCTATCCTAGGAACTCTTCTGAGGTGAGAAGATAGACATTGTATATAATTCAACTGTTCCCTGTATACAGGAAGTTGGAATAATATGTTTCCTCATCATGTTTTGTGAGTATAAGAATCTATATCATTCTAATAAATGTAATTTAAAGAATAACAGTGCTGGTAGAATATTTGTCCCAATTTCACAAGGGAGATGAATTTGAAAAAATATAATCCTTTATATAGATAATGTTGGTATTATATTATCTAACGAGACATACAATGTAAGTCCAACTGAGTTGCAACTGTATAGAGGAAATGTTAACAAAAAATGCAATAGGAGCTTTACTGTCAGACATAAAATTACTTAATTTGCCCAGGCTTAGTTTGGTCATTGGTAATATGGGGATAATTTTTTTTAATATATTGCAGCATACTGTTGTGAGATTAAACTTATTGTACAAAAAAGTATCTATTCATAGTCCAATGTCTGGCTTATTGTGGGCATTGAAAACTGATGCATGTTATTATCATGAAATCAATTGCAATGTTTATTCTTAAGGTACAATGAGAAACATAAATGTCACAAAACCACAATGCTCATATTTTCATAACTATCATATTCTCTTCTTATAAGCAGATGACTTGGAGCAAATAAAAGGTAAGTTAGTAACACACTTGGATGTCGTGTTGAGGGCCATAGCCCAATGCCTCTATTTCCATGATAGTGCTGGGGCAACCTCCCTTTTTAGAAATGAAAGTACTATTTGGTACTAGGCTCAAAATTTTGTAATTAAAAATTAAGACAAGCATAATAAATTAATAAATAATGCTTTTTAAGCCAGTATTAAATTCTTTTGCATCTATTTTCTTGGAATTAAATATATGAAAAAGGAAGAAAATAACTGATGAGAAAACTCAAATAGAGAAAGATTTATCTTTAATTAAAGTGGTACTACACAAATTATTATTATGCCAATGTTTGCATGGGAGGGAAATAGGAGCTTCAAAAATAAAGAAAAGGTCAGGTACAGTGGCTTATGCCTATAATCCCAGCACTTTAAGAAACCAAGGATGGAGGATCACTTGGGAGCCAGGAGTTCAAGACCAATCTGGGCAGCAAAGTGAGACCTCATCTATAAAAAACATTTAAAAATAAAAATTAGCTGAGTGTGGTTGTACATGCCTGTAGTCCAAGATACTTGGGAAGCTGAGGCAGGAGGATCCATTGAGCCCAGGAGTCTGAGGCTGCAGTGAGCTATTATTGCACTCCACTACATTCCATCCTGGATGACAGAGCAAGACTTGTCTTAAAAAAAAATTAAGAAACAGGCCGGGCACCATGGCTCACGCCTGTAATCCCAGCACTTTGGGAGGCTGAGGCGGGTGGATCACCTGAGGTCAGGAGTTCAAGACCAGCCTGACCAACATGGAGAAACACCATCTCTACTAAAAATACAACATTAGCCGGGCATGGTGGCACATGCCTGTAATCCCAGCTGCTAGGGAGGCTGAGGCAGGAGAATCGCTTGAACCCTGAACCCTAAATCCTGTAGGCAGAGGTTGCGATGAGCCAAGATAGAGCCATTGCACTCCAGCCTGGGCAACAAGAGTGAAACTCCGTCTCAAAAAAGAAAAAATTAAGAAATAAGGAAGAGAGACTGAAATAAAATGTGAACCAAATAATATATTACTAATATTTTTATTGCTGTTATGTACTACTTATTTTTAATAAAACTTGATAATGATTTTGATAAACACACATATGCAGATATGTATAAACAATTAAGCTATTACAGAACAAGAAAAGTCATAAAAGAAAGGAAAATATATACTCCAGCTACCAACTAGGAAATGTGAAAAAGCTGGTTTCCACACCACATTGTTTCATTTTAAACTTCCTATCCACTGGAAGGTTAAAAAGGAAATACATTTTAATTTACTGATAAAAATAAGTATATCAGTTCTCCAACAGAGGAAACACTTTCTAGCACTAAATTCTGGGAGAAATTTATCATGTGTGTCATTATTTGAGATGTTGACTAGTATAATGAATAGTGGTTTTGCAGACATCGTAAGAGTATTCTTCATAAGATCATTTGTTATAGCAACCTAAAACAAAGCTAAGGGCATAATATTACATTGTGATCAGTGAATCAATTTCTGTTAGAGGACTGTGAAAACACTTGTTGGGGAAATGGAGAAGTAGATGAAATTGAATCATTTAAAAGAAAAGAGAATTAATTTCCCCAATATGGTGATGATAAATGAAAAACTGTGTGTTCTAAATAGTTTTTGTTTTTAGAGTAAATATTTTCACTTTCATTGTGAATTCAAACTTCTAGGACAGAAAATAATTCTTAAATCTTTTTATATTTGAGAAAGAGAGAGCACTGATTAGTCAAAATCAGAGAATTATTAGTTAATTATTTCTCTTGTAGTTTGGTCTCCCAAACCAACTGCAATGTGGTTTCTTTTTCTGCTACCACCTCTGTTCTTCATGGGGTACCTATGATTTCCACCTAACTC
The DNA here is from genome assembly GCF_000001405.40 of Homo sapiens. NCBI lineage: Eukaryota > Metazoa > Chordata > Mammalia > Primates > Hominidae > Homo > Homo sapiens. The sequence goes on along the minus strand of NC_000007.14, from coordinate 84,212,078 downwards.
CTTCAAATAGTACATGCAATGCTCTGCTCCCGAATATTCGTCTTCCATATTTGGCTGACTGTTGTAACAGTTTCTACGTGGATATGCATGACATTACTTTCCCCGGTTCTTCCCAGGTTGGTTGTTTCATTATTCTAGCTAAAGTTATACTCTTTTACCTGTTCCTCACCACAATGCAGAGTTCTGTCCTCAGCCTACTTTTTGTCTTTACATTGATCTTGAATCCCACATATAGACCAATTTTTGTCTCTGGCATGTGAGCTTTAAATGAATTCCCAAATGCTTATGGGTACCTAAAATACAAACTTGTTACTCTTCTCAAAATCAGCAAGTTCAAAATTCAACTGCTTTCTGTCTCCTCAGGCATATTCACACCTTTTCTTTTCTTGCTGGTCTCAGTTAATGTCTCCATTTATCTGTGCCAAATAACAGGAATTATGATAATTTTTTTTTTTTTAGATGGAGTTTCATTCTTGTTGCCCAGGTTGCAGTGCAATGGTGCAGTCCCAGCTCAATGCAACCTCCACCTTATGGGTTCCAAGCAGTTCCCCTGCCTGAGCCTCCCGAGTAGCTGGGATTACAGGCATGCACCAGCATGCCCGACTAATTTTTTTTTTTTTTTGTATTTTTAGTAGAGACAGGGTTTCACCATGTTGGCCAGGCTGGTCTCGAACTCCTGACCTCAGATGATCCACCCGCCTTGGCCTCCCAAAGTGCTGGGATTACAGGTGTAAGTCACCACACCCGGCTGAGAAATGTTTTAAAATCCCACTTCTTTATCCTCCTCTTTACGCAACCTTTCACCAAGGCTAGCATATTTGCCTCCTTTGTACAAACCTAATGTGCCTTCTCTCTTCATATTCAGTTGCTATGATTTGGGGTTTAGTCATCTCTGGTATAGACCATTCCATTAAAAACCTACATAGACTGAAGAATAAAAACTAAAGAACGAGAATGAGTCTCTTTTTGGTGGCTAAGTAGAATCTGCCTAAAACCATTGTCATAAAAGCAATTAAAGGCAACAAATTTTTAAAAGGAACATATCACTGATTCATTCATAAAAAACATGAACAAAAAGTTTTTGTTCTGTTCCAGATATATCTTGTCTAAGTGCTAACACTGTTTCAGTAAAAATATCTAGCCATAACATTAAAAAAAAATATTATTTGCAATGCTTAAGCCTGCAGATACGTAATGTTACCACTGTTTTGTGTTGACAATATTGCTTTATGAAGTTCTTGTATTTGAAAGGAATTAATCATTTTAAAGAAACATGGTGTATATTGTTCTTACAGGACTAGTTTCAGTGGTGTAAATAATAAATACCTTTTCTAAAAAAAAAAGAAAAAAGAAAAAAGAGAAAACCTGCATAGCCTTCCTAGTTCCATGTTTGTTCCTAGTAAATACATCACTCCACACTGCAACCATATTCCGTTTTCTAAAAAGAAAATCTGCCCATGGCATTCTCTTCCTTAAAATCCTTTCATGGCTTTCGTCACCTACATTACAGTTACAAGCATGACTATAGCAATGCTTTTTGATTAGGCCCCTGCTGATTTCTCTTTTCTCTCCTATTTATTTGCAATTTATACCCTGTTAATGACAAAATTGTTCCCATTTCCTGCACTCACACACGCTCTCCTATTTTATGGCTTTTTTTACTTTGGCTGAGCCTTGAAATGACCTCTTCCATTTTTCTTCACCTGCTCTTACTCATCATTTAAGACCCAAGTCAGACACCCTCTCCCACAGGAAGCCTCCTGTAAAACCAGTTGGGCTCAGCGCCTATCATCTGTGTTATCTGAGCAATTACCATGCTGTATTTGTTTTTTATTTTTATGTAACTCTTTCCCTCATTAGATTGGGACCTCCTCAAGGGCAGGAATCACATCTTATTCATTTTCTTCTTCCCCACAAAAAAAATACTTTAGTGTATGGAAATGATTCCAGGGCTGAAAATGATAACTATTCATTGAAATAAGTTGGATAAAATTATTATCAATAATATTGGTTTTCTTTCGCTATGTGAATATCTCGATGTACTTGAGTAAAATAATGTAAATTGAACATGTACATTATTGTCTCTAATGATCCCCTTAGGAAAAAAAGTAAACTTTCTTCCCAAAATAATAAGAATGGTAGACACCCTCCAGAAACTTTAACTTCAGCCAAATTCTTCTGCAGCATACCAATTATTTTTAATGTCAGAAGCATGTAAATGACTTTATCCCAGGTTGTTACTTCAGAGTCTAGTGTAGGAAGTATATTACAAATATTTTTATTTAATAAATTTATATGTTGTTATTGGGGCTATCATAGTTATTGTTGAATAGTTTGAATGGCAGAGTATTATATAACAGCCATTACATTTTATTATCCAACTAAAATTACAGTTTTACATGAAGAAATATGAACCATTAAATTCTTACTCCTAACCCAAATAATTAAATATTGCCAGTAATTTAAGTGATACATTTTATACTATGGTTTTGAAGTACACTTTTGGATATACTATTTTCAGCACAAGAAGGAACAGAAGGTGGAATTTATCTAATCCATCTCATTCATGTATAGAAAAGGACACTGAGCCCCCAAGAAATTCATTAACTCAACACATAATTGGTTAGTGCCCAAACTGGAAATAGGACTCAGGTTGGGTTTCCCTCATCATACTGTACTGCCTCTTTATTTGTTATTTAATAATATAATCTATGCATTTGGCCTAAACCTGAGCCTGCACTCACACAAATACATGCACAAACATACACACATACACAGCCTACTACATGGAGTGATTAAATGATAGAATCGTTTTGTTGTCATTCCTACTTGGATCACTGAGTAATATAAAAGGCTAAACTCTAAAATTAGCTGAATCACTAAGAAGTGGTTACACAATGTTCTTCTCTACTTTGTAGTTTCATTCCAGATTCTATGCAGGTATATGTAACAAAATGAAAGTATGAAAAGTGATGTTTCTTCCATAGCATACATGAAATAAAACTCTTGGAGGAACAATAAGATTCTAAAATGCAAGTATTTGTCACAAATATTTAAAATTGAATTAAGGTGTAAATAGGCCACTAGTCCATTTGTTATAAAATAACATTCTATTTAGATGTTGAATGTAATTTCTAGAGCATTACATATACACAGTATCCAATGCTGGTAATGAGACTCAGGTGATAGTGTTTACCTTTAGATCCATGTATAATGCAGTAATAAGAAACCTGTAGTTTTATGTATTCTGAATCTGATTTCTGAAACTAGCCTTTATCACTTTTTGCAAGACTGAAATCTGAGAGTAATTCTTTGGAATAAGGAAATGGGTCAAAGCCAACTGTTCCACTTATACTTAAGATGCCAGAAATCGCTCATGAGTTTGTATCATTCAGTAGAGAAGAGAATTACTTTATGACACATTACTGGAAACTACCTCAGCTTAATTAAATACTTTTTAAAAGATAACAGTAATTATCTTTTATCCATGTTTTAAAGTTTATAGTTGAATGACATGTAGATGGTTGCTGTATATTTCTAAAAGGCTAGTCTTACATTGCCTCCCTCATTTAATTGCAAATTTTTGATGGCAGAGAATGTATTCATTTGTCTTTCCGTTCTTTTTTTTTTTGAGACGGAGTCTCTGTCACCCAGGCTGGACTGCAGTGGCAGGATCTCGGCTCACTGCAAGCTCCGCCTCCCGGGTTCACGCCATTCTCCTGCCTCAGCCTCCCCAGTAGCTGGGATTACAGGCGCCCGCCACCACACCCAGCTAATTTTTTGTATTTTTAGTAGAGGCGGGGTTTCACCATGTTAGCCAGGATGGTCTCGATCTCCTGACCTCACGATCTGCCCCCCTTGGCCTCCCAAAGTGCTGAGATTACAGTCATGAGCCACAGTGCCAGGCTTGTCTTTCCATTCTTAACATTTTAGTATATAACCTGGTACAAAAGTTTAATAACTACTTTGAATTATATTAAATATGGATGTGTGTGTATATAATGTAGGCATGCATGTATATATAAGTATATACACATATACATTTATACATAAATATGCATACATATGTGTGTAGGTATGCATACATGTGCATGTGTGCATATACACATATATAAAATACACAAGACTAAAATGCCTTATAATCTTAGGAAGAAAAACCTCCACATAACTGCAATCTCCTCACTGTCTCACTGTTTTAGGGTCCTCATTCCACACACAGCCTTATTCTCTCACAGCAGTCTTTCTTTATTGCAGCTCAATTGCAGGGAAACCCGCCTCCCATAGCAACAGCCCCACCAACCTACTAGGAAAAGGAAGACACATTTTTCCTACACCTATGTCCACAGGAAGATGACTTGACCTCTTAAATTTTATCATGCCTGAGTTTTAGCTTATAGGTCAGAGAACTTGGCAAAATGAAAGCCATTTTTGTCAAACCTATACGTAATGAAATTCTATTATTTAAGCATATTTCATTACCCTAAAACAAACTACTCTTCCACACATCCCAAAAGAGAACACAGTAATTTCTTCAGTTAAACAGAGTTTCTTAACATAGCCCTTTTAAGCAATTATATTTTAAGTAAGAAAATGGTCTTTAACCAGTTTTCTGATTCTGGTTTGTTTTTCAAATTAATCTTAGTGGGTTATGGAATACATAGAATCATTTGAATCAGGATTTGATAGAATGGGCAGAGTTCTGAAAACCTTCAGAATTTGTTTTAAATCCTACTTTGACTGTTCATCTAAATAACAGTTTTGACAGCCAGCTTTGTCTCTTGCTGTCAGCCCCACCCTGCATCTCCCAGGAACCATGACAATAGTCAGGAAGTAATTCACTTACATTTGTTGAGGACCCATTGTGTGAAAGGAATGTTACTAGGAACCTCACAGGAAATAGGCCATAAGAGCCTCACCACTGAAGAGGTCTCTCGATTAAAGCAGTGCTACAAGACGAATATATTCATGAAATATGCACTTTACTGACAGGATGAATATGTGTAAACATGTGTAAACATGCCCAAACACCTGTATGTATAGAGATTTAACTAATAGTGATAATCATTGTTTGGGTGCCTATAATTAGGATAAATAATTTTGGAAGACTTTGTAAATAATTGAATATTTAAAGGTGGGTAATCAAAGTAGAGATAGAATGAGTTACAGAAAGGGATATTTACTATAATATGTAATTGCTATGATACAAAACATAGAAAAATATCTTACTCATTTTTTTTTTTTACCATATCCTGTCACTTATTTATGCAGTTGAACGAGAAAGAACTATAGAAAATACCCATTTAATAGAAAGTACCCATTTAATAGTATCCACTTTGGGAGGCTGGGCTGGTTGGATCACCTGAGGTCAGGAGTTCGAGACCATTTAATAGATAAGTAACAGCAATCAGAGCAATCAATAAATGTAAATTTTACTTAGACTAAAATGCCATCTTGGAAGGCCGGACGCGGTGGCTCACGCCTGTAATCCCAGCACTTTGGGAGGCCGAGGCGGGCGGATCACGAGGTCAGGAGATCGCAACCATCCTGGCTAACATGTTGAAACCCTGTCTCTACTAAAAAATAGAAAAAATTAGCCAGGCGTGGTGGCAGCGCCTATAGTCCCAGCTACTTGGGAGGCTGAGGCAGGAGAATGCCATGAACCCTGCAGGCGGAGCTTGCAGTGAGCCAAGATCATGCCACTGCACTCCAGCCTGGGCGACAGAGCCAGATTCTGTCTCAAAAAAAAAAAAAAAAAAAATGCCATCTTGGTTTCTACAATAAACTAAGATTTTAAAAATTCACCAGAGTAAAATTGGCTTATTTTACTTTCTTTCTTAATGCTTTTAAAGTATATATTTATTATGGAGGTATTAACATTTAAATAAATCAGAATGGGAAGAATGCCATAGTGTCAATCATGTAATTTTTATGAAATTATTCTGAAATTGTATGAGGGAAAGGCAATATGATCTAGCTGCTGGGGTTGCAAACAGCCCGTCACTGTTAGATAGCTGAAGTGCCACATCCTGCATCTTGTTAAATGTAACTCAATCATCTCTATTTCTAAAAGAAGGGTCTTTATTTTCATCCTGGCACTCTAGTTTTAAAGTAGACTGAAGCCTAAGTTTGTTTAAAGCTACAACATGCTTATTCATATAAAATAATTAGTGACATTCGAACCACTTTCTGATAGACTCAGTTTAGTAAGAGACTAAGTGGCTTTCCACATTTATTGAATTCACATTTGAAAGTACTGTTGAATACATTTGAAACAGTATTTTTGAGGGACTACAATAGGAATGAACTTTCAAAATTCTGGATAGTGTTATAAAACATGATTCTTTAAAGTCTACTGAATATATCACACTACTTATAGCTAATAAATCTAGGAATTTTGCCATGGATTGACACTTATGCATAGGAATTGTAATTCTATTCAGATTGTGGCAATTATATTTTCATGCTTAACTTTATACTGTTTCTAGACTTCTGGAAATTATTATGAAAAAATAAATATGGACATGAATTGTTTTATAAATTTAGATATCTGTAAGAATTCATCTTATGAATTTAAATGATATTTTTGTCAGTGTCTATTTGCAGATCTGAGAAACTGTTAAAAGATAGTTGCATAACTGTAATCATTGCCATGTTTTTGCCAAGGTATTTTAACAATGATACCAAAAGTAAAGAGAGAATGTTCCTGTTGAAACTATTATAGTAAAAATTCCACCAGAATGGAAAATTAACTTATTTACCAGCCAATCAGGATTCCCTAGTGTTCTGAAAACAGCATGAAACAAAACTTGTTGAGTAGTTAAAATAGTAAAGAGTGCTATTGACCTATGAGATGTAATGACTTGAAATATAAATAGTAGCAGGAGATATTCCCATAATAATTGTACAGGTGTTTCACCTGTTGACCTTAACTTCTCTGCTTCCTAAAGTTAACTATGACACTTATCTGGGAAAATAATTTGCTCTGAAATGTAAATACTCACTAACTCATGCAGTTTGTGACTTAGGTTATTAAAACTCACTCACATGTTGAGGATTTAGTACTAGTAATGGGTCTTCTAATAATTTAAGGCTTGATTTACCATAAAAGATACGATTCTTTCTGTGCAAGCCACAAAAGATGGAGGATCTCAAATGCACATCTGGCCAAGTGAGTCACCAGCAATTTGTGAAGTGGTGAAACGTTGCTCTCTTTCAATTTGCAGCTGCCTACAGTTGCAGGGCTGATTAGCAAAGGCAACCTCATACTTGTTAGTCTAAGTCATGGTTTCTCTGCTTACTACTGCCCTCTCCAATCTTCACATTTTAATACACATGATCTGATTCTTCATGGTCAAACCTACTGCGTTTGATATATAAATTTAGCACATTTAAAATGTATCATGTAATACTTAAAGGGCAACTTTTCAAACCATAAAATTAATAAGAGCCTAGATCCTCCTCTCTTTCATTTAGCCTTTGTGGTACCTATGGCAAGTGATTCTCAAGAAGTTGCCTCCTGTTTCTCCTAAAGGGCATTTCGGAGTCACTAATTTTTCTCCCCAGTATCTACATGATATTCTCATGCCCCATGTTCAATTCTGATGCCCAGAAGCTTACCCAAACTCTTTGACTGCAAAATCCGACTCCACAGTGTCAGGGAATGTGGGATCCTCGATGTCCTTGTATTTGGCAATAAAAAAATATATCCCATTTGACAGCCATGATGGGAAAAGGGGGTGATCAACTGCTTTCTAGACAAATAAACTGACATTTATATTATATTGCTACAAATTATGATCTTATGACTTAAATCCAGATGTTCTGTCTTATATAATACATGAATTTTCACAATTGTGGTGCTTTATTTCTTGAGAGTTTCACAGCCATCGTTCTTAATTTTTAAATTAAAAAAATAGAATATTACCATTGGGAGACACTACACATTTAGAAACACTGTAGAATACTCATTTTGATTATTATCTATATGAGTAACATACTGTGATAGTCCGCCGGCTATAGTAAATCTGAAGAGGAGTCTTTAATCTCAAAAGAGATATATAATTGTATAAAAGTTAATAACAATGAAATTTCCTATGTTTTGAAGGAGAAACTAAACATATTTTGTTTTGTGAACTATAATGTAGTTATTTTAGCAGCATTTTAGAATTCTCTCTAATGCCATGGCCTACACTCCAATACATGCTTAACATAAAAGCATGAACAACTAGTGCAATTATATCTACAAAGAGGCCAGGTGTTGTGGCTCACTCCTGTAATCCCAGCACTTTGGGAGGCTGGGGCGGTTGGATCACCTGCGGTCAGGAGTTCGAGACCAGACTGACTAACTTAGTGAACCCCCTCCCTACTAAAATTTAAAAAATTAGTTAGGTGTGGTGGCACACACCTGTAATCCCTGCTACTTGGGAGGCTGAGGCAGGAGAATTGCCTAAACCTGGGAGACAGAGGTTGCAGTGAGCCGAGATTGTGTCATTGCACTCCAGCCTGGGCAACAAGAGTGAAACTCTATCTCAGAAAAAAAAAAAAAAAAAAAATATATATATATATATATATATATACACACACACAAAGAAATACTTTCTACAAAACTGTTAAAACTAGGAGATTTCTGAACATAATATTTTAATTAGTATACATTTCCCTTGACTAATTAATTAATCCATTAATTAATAGGATAGGCTTTATTCTGTGCCAAATTCTATGCTGAGCATTAAAAATAAAATAAGAAAAAAAAAGGCTTCTCTTCCCTTTGAATTTAGAGTCCACTGAGGAAATGTGATACAAAGCAATAGGAACTATAATAGATAAATGCACTCAACACCGTAGAAACATAGGAAGAAGGAGCTCCTAGAATACTTGCAAAATATTGTGATGTATTATGCAAGGCTTTTTCAAAAATATATAAAGTAATCCTATATACTGAGTCCCTAATGCAAAATCTTATATCCTGAGTCCCTAATGCAAACTGTAGGCAGATTAGCTTTAGGGGAATACAATAGCCCTTAATCATGAGTAATCCAACAAAATATGTAGACAATCTGTCATCAGCTAGAGTCTTCTAGAAGAATAGAGAAGATATTACTAGAAGGGATGAAAAACAACACAGGAATTAATGAAATGAGTATAACAGTATAGATGTATTAAAAAATTAAGCACATTATGCCAAAATAGATACAGAAAGATTTATAGATGGTTTATATAACTTGGGGCAGGGAAAAAAGAGATAAATTGGCATTAGGACATTCATGACTAGGAATATACATCTGTATCCTAAAAAAATAACCTGTGATTAGTTTTGTAAGTCACAAAGACTGGCGCCTAAACATATCTCAAAATTTTGTTGAATGAATGGATAAATATAAAGGAAACAATGCAAGGTATGTGATAAGTAAAATGTTTTCAATGGTTACCAGTTTTGAGGGTAGAGAAAGAGTATATTTGAAATTATTTCTCTGGAAACAAATTAAGTGCGCTGGATTGCACACTGTGGCAAGCACCTACCAAGTCATGTCAACAGCCCAAGAAAGAGACTACCACATTAACTTGGTTTGTTCAATTTCAGTTTTCCTATTTCCATAAGTGATTGCAATTTTGATTTAACAGAATAGAAAGAGGCTTCACAGCATCAGTAAATGTGCAGTGAATATTTAATAGATGAAATTAGACCACTAAAATATCAGATTATTATTTATTATTTTTAAAATTGACAATAAAATTGGATGTATTAACTGTATAGGACATATTGTTTTAAAGCATGTATGCAATGTGGAATGACTTAATCTAGCTAATTAGCATATGCATTTCCTCCCATAGTTATCACTTTTGTGGTGAGAACACTTTACATTCACTCTCTTAGCATTTTTCTAGAATTCAATATATTGCAAACTATAGTTGCCATGTTGTACAATTCTATCAAAAATATCAAATATCATTTCAACAAAGTTACACAATGAGAACTACACTCATTGTTTTAAATCATAGGATAAAAAAATAAATTTGTTTTCCTCATGTATAATCAGCACATTGTGACAGTTCACTGATAAAGCTTTAGTTGAGATGGCAAAGTGTATGTGAGAACACAATTGCATTGGGAGAACATCGTTTTTGTCTCAAAAGGAAGATTATAAACTTTAATTAGATGTTTGGGGATCTTTAAAGTGCTTTAAGTCACCAAAGTTATGTATCAACTTTAAAAAATCAACCAAGGGAATACTCACATTGTCACTTAAGTCCTCAAGTCAAACTTTTTCACCTTGAATCTGTAATTTAAGAAGATTCAAAGTTAGACATATTGGATGTTATTTCTGTTCTGTTTGATACAACAGGAAAAGGAAAATGAATTTATGTTGATTGATTTTCAAAGAGATTAGTTCTATGGATATGCTCTAAGAAAAACATGGAATTTTTAAAAACACATTATTGTCAATAATAAAAACATTGTTAACTAATAAACAAGGCATTTTCTAATCTCCTCCATAAGGTGACAGCTGCTTTTGTAGCCAAGGCAGTGAAATTAAACCTGGAATATAATGCTACTCTACACATTGGGGGGCGGGGAAAGAAGCATAAACTGGATCAAATGATGTTTTACACTTCAGACAATATGGAATAAAAATAATTGAAGTCATTTTTTTTCTAACTATTGCAACTTACAGAAATCTGTGCCCTTAAAAAGCAGAATGCACTGTAGATTTTGAATCACCATTTACCAAACAGTTGATTTTGCCATTATAATAAACCCTTTTAAGGAGCTTTAATTCTAGGTTTCAGCATTCCTGTTCTTTATTCTTACCAGCTTCAAGCTCATTAAAAACATTTAAGACAAAGAAAAAAGTCCTCTTCCTAGGCCATAGAGATTGTAATAAACTTACATCTGAGGTGCAACATTCTTTTTCAGTGGATAACAAAGGGGAACTCTATGCATCTGCTTTGCGTGAGTCAGATGTAAAGTAATCCTTTAAACCATATTGCTTAGTCTCTTCACTTTGTTTATTTAGTGTAGACCGACTTATTTATTTATTTATTCAGTGAAAATGTGTGTGATATGCCTTTACTGAAAGCAAACAGCTAATAAGTTAATATCCTGAAACACCCGATAGCCAACCTGCTCATTTCATTTGTATTCCACAGATGCCTCATTTTTTCCTCCTCACTGCCTAGCCTGTACTGATCAGTATTAACAATGGGATTTTTGTCTCACTTGAAAACTTTCTTGTTCCATTTGAGTTGAGGTGGAGACTCTCACTTAAAAAAAAAAAAAAAGGAAAAAAAACCCAGGTATTTTCAGTGTTTCACTGCTTTTAATATATTAATATTCAGGAACACTGCATTCATTCTTCAGATAATCTCACAAAGTAGCTGTAGTGATGACAAGACCCTTAAGCAGATAGAAATGGCAAAGAGAAAATGCCACTTTGAAACATTCTGAAATGTTAAAAATGTGTTGAATTTAAGAAGACAAAAGAAAAGAGAGACCATAGAAGTGATAAATCATTTCTATAACCGTATTTTAGCTACATTTGGCAAGTGGGATACTAACCATAACTTATGAAATTTTATGCATCCCTTCTCTTGTCACTCTCTTTCATCCTCCACTCAAACTTACCAACCTAATAAAATTCACCTACTGGCTCCATTACTCAAACTCTCAGGGAAAAGACAGTTTACCGCTAGAAGACTTTCCCTGAATTGTCTAGGATTTTCTTCCACTCTACCGCCATCATTAATGACTATCTGAACAGTTTCTGGTCTCCTTCTGTATTGTTTTAATATTAAGACTTATCACATCAATTCATTTGAAAAACAAGGAATATTTTTATGTTCTGAGTCCTTATTTACCTTAAAGTATCATAAACATTAATATTGCAAAAGAAAACAGGAAAACACAAAACTTTTTTTTTTTCCCCCAACTGTTACAAATTCAGTCCAGGGGAAGGAAGAGCTTCTTTTACTGAAATCACTATTCATGATGAGGGTGGGTCAGGGCATGGAGGGGTGGGAGAGTCAAAGGGAGAGGGAAGAGTTAATGCTTCCCTACAGATTGAATTCTCTTTGCATTTTATCAATTCCTTCTCTCAACTCATGCTTTCACATGTTGCTTATACTGAAAGCATTCATAAGGGTCAGATTCTAAAAAGTTTAACTTAATTTCTTAAACATTGCTTTTAACCTGCCACCCCCGGTTTCCAGCAACAACTACAGTAGTTCCTAAATCACTATCATTTTTGGCTAGAATGAATAATACATCAACTATTTATTTTCTCCAATTAATAGAGTGTCTTCTGATCGTCTAAAGAATTTTTTCACCCACAGAATTCTTTTTTAGAAAAAAGAAAGGTTCAAATTTCTTGTATAGAAAAACCTTCATTAAAAATGAATTTCCAACATCAGAAGTCAGAGCAAGGCAAATGTTTGAGTATGACATTTGCTGAAATTCTGTTGATTGTAAGCCTTTCTCAAATACTAATGAAGCGTTCCTTGAAGAAAAAAAAAAACGGAAATAACAGATGTTGATTGAGAAACAATATGTTTTTTACATGTCTCAATTGAAAAACACCTTGCCAAGAATACTAAAATTTGTGTTTTTAGTACTGGTTTCCTCTTTGGTGTTATTTCTTAGAAGAACAGATTAACTAACTCATTTAAAAATTCCCAACTTAGTAATTTCCTTTAAAGAGGTCATCTGCTTCTGAGGGTGGCACACTTTTGGGGATTTCCTGTATCTGATCACAATGAAATGGGTATGGAAGGTGATTTGCAGAAAGAGGTGAGGTTATTTAATCAAGTGCATCCTAACTTCAGGTACATTTTGTCCACTAAATCTTTGAAATACATCTAAAACACAATTTCTCCTTATATTCTTTTCTGGACAAATACAGCTAGTATTTCTACCTAACCATTCACAGAGAGATTCAGGGTATGTATAACCAAGGAAAGTACTTAGACGGCTATCTCACAAATTAGGAAACAGCGCTGCTCTTAAATTACAGTGTTTATTATTATCCAAATTTGTTTCAATAATAGCAAAATATAGAGAGGGAACATTTTAAAATTAGACACATTGGTTTCATCCAATACCTGAAAAGATAAAAAATACATAGCCAATGTGTAAATACTTTAATACGTATCTTCTATGACTACAGAGGTCTTTACTGAAAAACAAGTTAACTAACCTGTTGTGAAATGGGAAGTGTTGATCCTCTAGAAAATCAAGCACACCATCCAGAAAGTTGCCACTGTCAAAAATTTTAGCACTCTTTCCCAGTACAGAGGGAGGTGAGGTTAAAAACTACTGATCTATTTGACAGAAAAGTATACAACAGCATGATCATCCTATTAAGCACCTGCTGAAATGTAACTCCACGGCAGGAGTTAATCATATTTGAAAGCTCGAATTGTTAGAACATATTAGACACTCAATTACAAATACAGTTACATATAGTACACTATGTAAATTGTGGGTTAGAAAATAATTGAAAATAGGCTACTTAGAGGAAGAAATAAATAAGAATATTTCACTTATACCTTAAATAAAATTCAATGTTAAAAGGCCAATATAAGGCCGGGCACAGTGGCTCATGCCTGTAATCCCAGCACTTTGGGAGGCTGAGGTGGGTGGATCATTTGAGTTCAGGAGTTTGAGACCAACCTGGCCAGCCTGACCAACATGGTGAAACCCTGTCTCTACTAAAAATACAATTAGCTGGCTGTGGTGGCAGTTGCCTGTAATCCCAGCTACTCGGGAGGCTGAGGCAGGAGAATTACTTGAAACCAGGAGGTGGAGGTTGCGGTGAGTCGAGATCGTGCCACTGCACTCCAGCCTGGGCAACAAGAGCAAAACTCCGTCTCCACAAAAAATAAAATAAAAAAATAAAAAAAGGCCAATATAATATTTGTGACTTTTAAAAAGTAGTAAGTGATACAGTAAAATAAAATCAATGGTTATGGTGTATGGTGTCAAATACAGTAAGTTTTCTAATTTCAGAATTTAGGCCACAGATTCTCAGAGTAAGGAGTGATCTGGCCGGGCTCGGGGGCTCACGCCTGTAATCCTACCACTATGGGAGGCGGAGGCCGGCAGATTGCCTGAGTTCAGGAGTTTGAGAACAGCCTGGGCAACACGGTGAAACTCCGTCTCTACTAAAATACAAAAAATTAGCTGGGCGTGGCGGCGTGTGCCTGTAGTCCCAGCTACTCGGGAGGCTGAGACGGGAGAATTACTTGAACCCGGGAGGCCGAGGTTGCAGTAAGCCGAGATCGCGCCACTGCACTCCAGCCTGGGGGACGGAGCGAGACTCCGTCTCAAAAAAAAAAAAAAAAAAAAAAAAAAAGAGTGATCTTTGGAGGAGTGGATTAAAATCTGCATTGTACACATGCAGCCAGATTCCGATAGATTCTGACACCGCCCATCCAGGTCCACCCATACCTTGCTTCTACTTTAGTTGAGAAATAAGTTGAAGTTTGATTATCCTCAGGTATTTGGGGATATTAAGAAAAAAAAAGTTAAACAATTTTATTCAACTCTGAGCAAAGTCGAATGAGAAGGCAGTAGAAATATAATATTCCAAATGCTTTTGTGAGTGTTTTTCAGGCATTTACTTTCTTCTTTCATTTTTTATTTAACATTTGAATTATCTGTGTGTGGCCAGACATTTCTAGTATTTTATAATTTAATCAGTCTAGGACAGTTAGTTTGCCTGAAGAATATACTATTTTTACATTTCTTAAATAAAAAATCTGCAGAAAAGCAAATATAAATGCAAACCTATGAAACTTTTAAACATCTGGAAAAACAGGAAGATCATAAATAATTTGGAGGATAAGAAAAATATCAAATATAAATAATCATATCATAGTTTATAAAAAATCGTGTGTATATGGAGGTGTCTGTGCTACCAACTTCCATGTGTCAACATTAATTTAAATTATTCATTTTATGAAATGAAATAACTTTGTCCTGATTTTGTGGTTCAAAATCCAGATTTTATGTTTTTCTTCCCCCATGGAGCCATTTTTGACCCTCTTTTATCTAAATTTACTTACAGCCTTTTGTTTTATTTGGAGCATATAAAAATGTTTTAGGATTAGACATTACACAGGTGAAATGGATACACTTATAAATTTTATTATCCTGTTTAGTTTTGACAAAAACTTGCTCTTCTATTCTAGAAAACAAGAGTAAAAATATAAATATATTTTAAGACATATAAAATATATACTAATGAAAATGGTAAAACTACTTAAAGCATTTAAACTAATTATATGTGAGATTTCAATAGGATAATTCATTAGTCCAATCCTTGAAATAATCCCAAAGCGACATGAATTCCTCTGCAGAATGAATGTCTATAGAGAGTAATCCATGGAAGACAGACAAGCCTCTTGTCATTTGTAGCCTTAATCCATTGCCTAGAGCGTGAAAGTGCCTAGTATAACAAGTGTGGGAATCAGTAAAATCAACATTATTTTTGGATTTTATTTTCTTAACAATACTGGCTGATCAATAGGCTTGAGGAAACTGACAAATACAATAAGATCTGTTTGATGAGTCAATCTAGTGAAGTAGAGAGAGAATTCCTACTCCCTTTTCCCCATTCTCCCCCTCTTTAAATCCTCCTCTTCCTCCTTCTCCACCTACATTCACACAAGCCACACATCCAACGGCAGAGAGGGAGAGACAGAGAGAGAGAGAGAGAGAGAGAGAGAGAAAGCAGAGCGAGCGAGCGCTGTGCTTTCTCTATTGGTCTGTGGACATTAAGTAATGAAAGCTGTAGTGACAATGCTTAGATCATTTTCTTAAGAATACTAAGCCACTTTCAGTAGGTGTTTATGTTTTTAATTGTGAGACTCACTCTCTCCCTTCAGCCAAGAAGTTTCCCTACTATTGAAGTTGAGTCTCTGGATTCCAAGTGCTGTTCTGGAGGTGGGGGGTGGGGAGTGGTGGTAGGAGGGGGTAGGGCAGAATCATTTGGGGAATAAAGGAGAGAAAGTTCTGTCCTGTTAACTTTTTTATACATCCCCTAAAGATTCTTGTAAAAATATCAGCTTTGAGGAAAACTGAATGAAAAATAAGAGAGAAAATTGAGAGGCCACAGCCAACTACTTGTTTCAGAAGGAACTAATGGTGTTCATATGACTGCCTGAATACATGCCTATACGTCCCACAGAAAATTTAGTAACCCTTCAGCAGCTCATGAAGACACAGAGATATTCTTTTCATGTTACTCCTTGACACTCAGCAGGGACTTTTGTGAACTTTGTCATCTTCCGCTGCCCTTTAAACCAAAACTAGGGAAGTGTCTTTAATTAATGAGATGTGATGCATTGAAAATGTTAGCCAGAGCATTCCAGAAGCTGGAAAACCATAGACGTTTTTAAATTCTGAGTATCCTTTTGAGAATCCCCCGTTGTAATTTATAATTCTCAAAGGACCTATATTTGTCTTGAACTGATTGTTGGAATGGGCTTTAGTAGGAATTTCTTCCCTGAAATTGCAGTGGGACAGAGGAAGGGGGTGGTTGAGCCCAGGGGGTTTGTTGGGAGGAGGGAATGATCTCTAACAAGGCTTTAAAACCTTCAGTGGTTAAAGTTGTATTGATGAGGATATATAGACACACACACACACACACACACACACACGCACACATACAATGCACAAGTTCAGCAGGATTGTATAATGAGCATGAATTGTAAATTTTGTAGGTAGCAGAATTCAGATTTTTAAAATCAAAATTGCACCCAAAAATGGCTATAAAACAACGCTTGCCTTGGGAAGTAAATTTATAGCTACATGCCTTTCACAGGCACGCCTGAGGGTTCTGCTCCCGGCTCTAATCTCTACGAGATGTTTTTTGCATGTGTTGTGTGACAGGAGGGAAGGGGAGTAGGTTGAGCTCGCCTGTTCTCCCATTGTCAGCCAGTCTAGTGAGTGTTGGGGAAACCTGTCTGTGGGATCTTGTGTCATCTCCCTCTACATGCGTACAGGAAAAGTCCGCGCTGCTCACGGTTTCTCTCTCTCTCTCTCTCTCTCTCTCTCTTTCTCTCTCTCTCTCTCTCTGTTTCCCTTTCATTCTGCTTCCCCGGAGCCGAATGAAGCAGGGAGCAGGATTAGAGACTGCCACCGGCTATCAGAGGAGCTTAGATAAAAGGAACTGCTTCTTAAGCACCACTGCAGCAGACCTTGTTAATTTTTTTTTTTTTTCTTTCCACACAACAGTTGTGCCTCATTATCCGGTGCCTGGCTCGGAATTTTTTTTTTTTTTTTTCTTTTTGGAGGGTTTGAAGTTTCTGTGCTTCAGTGACTGTTACAGAAGAAGAGGTGTTAGTGTTGCCATGAGGTCTTGATTGTCTGCATTTATGAATGAAACTGACCTAAATCACCTGTTACCTCCAGTTTCCAGATTGTTTGAACTTCTCTGGCCGCACAATACAGGAAGGAAGACTAAAGCAGCAAAGGGACCTACAGCGTCTGCAGCATGGGCTGGTTAACTAGGATTGTCTGTCTTTTCTGGGGAGTATTACTTACAGCAAGAGCAAACTATCAGAATGGGAAGAACAATGTGCCAAGGCTGAAATTATCCTACAAAGGTAAATCTTATTTTTCTTTTATTTGGTTAGCTTTGTAATAACCGCCCCCCCCCTTAATTCCTTGAACTCCCTCCCAACCCCAAATCATCAAACCTTTAGTTTAACCTGGTAAACCGACGTGATTATGTGTATCTTTCTGAGATGCTTTAAACGCTTTTTGTAAAAAGCATGTCTTCTGTTTGATATATGACAACTTAAATGCAAACAAAGAACATTTAATCACATTTGCTGAAAAGAGCTGTATGCCTGGTACACGCTGATCTGTATATCTTATTATCCTATCTTATGCCTGTTAATTTTTCCGACTTTAATTCTATTAAAATATTTTCTTAAAAATAGAAATGCAAAAATGGTCTCTTTGTAGATGTGCATGCCTTACCTATAATTACTATGATGAATTGCATTTTCTTAGTTTTAGACATGAAATGGTTAATCGTCATCATGAATATTCAGTTTGTTCAAATCTGACAATCAGATGCTTAACATAAGCAGTAGATCATGGTTTGCCAAGAGAACATAAACTGGATGGAACAGACTAGTTTTTCCACAGTGCCTTATGATTGTACAAAAGACTGTATTTGGCTAATTGTGTAAAGCTAAAGTCTTTGAAATATTATGTTATTTAATTCTATATGTACTTCAGTGAGAACTGCAGACACATTACTGTCTGCTTGCATAGGTAGTTGTGTAAACTTCTCTTTTGAAAAGTATAAATTAAAGAGAGAAAAAAGAGCTTTATCACTAGTGCTTTATTTGGTTACAATTTAATGTATGTGCTTATTTTTATTGAGGATTTTTTATGTTTGTTCCACATTTGCTTAGATAGGTCTTATAGATAGATGATGTGTAAAGTAATGCTAAAGTAGAGCCCAAAATGATATACATACATTTAGTGGCAGTAAATCTTTCTATAACTCAGGTATTATTAAAATGGAGTTGAAGATTAAACTGTTTTAACTCAAGTAGTTTTACTCCCTAAGGTGTTGATTTCTTATGATTCTCAGATTTCTAAAATTGGGGGTGGAGCAGTGAGAAGCTCTAATTAAGCTTATTTTTTAGCCTATAAGTTAAAATAAAAATTATTGAAGGTATTTGTAGAGATGTCTGTCTACTGTACCTTGCTCTTATGCCACAAAACATATTCTTTAATTCTCATATGATGGGGAACATCTTTTTCTGAATGCCCTAGTGTGAATGAGGATCTCAAATCAGAAGAGAGATGTAATTTTCACACTTTGAATTAGAAAATTAAACACCTAGTAATGTGTTTCTTTGGACTTAGTGCTCGTTAAATGAAATGCATTGAATTAGAATATCTATTTACTTTTTGGTGTAATGTTTTCCTGAGTATCAAGTTGGGAATAGAGACTTAAACATCAACAAACAGAAGTGCAATTGTACTTATGTAAGTTTTAAAAAATCATGTAGCGTTATTTAATTAATTTAGTAACTGTCTTTAAATTATTTCCATAGTATATGATATTATGGTGTCTGTGTTTTTATCAGTTTTGCTTTCTGTTTTCACTCCTTGACAAGGTGACATCAAATAAGTCTAAGTTGATGGTCCACTTTATCCAAGTTTATGTTCCCTATAAGTTTTACATGCAACTTTAGTTCTCAAAGATGTGACTGGCTATTTGTAATACTTTTAGTTTAACAAGTTTAAAATCATGATATATATTTTAAAAATCTGCTAGGCTTGAATATATCTAAGTGCTAAATTCATTTTAAAATAAAATAAAAATAGGGAATTAAACTTTTTTATTTTGCAAGAATTTTATTTCCATGATAATAGGTTACTCTCCATGATAGAGGAGGCACTTGTTCTTTCTGTACATTAAAAATATTACATTTAATTTGAATATCCTTTGTTGTACACATATGCCTTAAACCTATCTGATGAAGCAAGCAGTATATATTAGCAAGGTGTATATATTTGATATTGTCTTTATAAGCCTTGTTTTAGTGATGGCATCCATTAGAATTATTCTGCTTTCCTTTAAGTAAAAAACTGCTTTACAGCTACATAACAATCCCATTGATACACCTAGAGCTTAATAATTTGGTAAAATAAACTGTGAAATGAACAACAGGAAGAAGAATAAAAGGAATGGCCTGAGGAAATTTTTTTCTGTTATTTTATTAATCTGTCATTACCTTTTTGTCTCTACATGTACGTTTGTTTGGCCAAAGCAAGTATGTGGTAGCCAATTGCCAGTACTTTGTTTCTAAAGTACAATAGAGATTTTTTTAAAGCTACTTCTTGTTTCTCCTTAATTAGATGTCAAACACAGTTAAAACATCCACTGCATTGCCCTTAAAAATATTCCAGCATGATTCATGAAGAGTTAAATCCCTGCCAACCTTAATTTCCCATGGTCACTTGTTTTCAAAGATCCACCATTAACTCTCTCATTGCTCAGGTTGCCAAGATGAAGTTTCTGGCAATCACTGTGCTTACTTTCTACTTATCATTTTTGCCTGGTAGGAGATGAAAGAGACTTGACATGTTAAAAAGAAGTAAAAACAGGAAAGTGGCCTTTGTAGCGGGTGTACATATCTAATAAGATACCTCTTTACTTTCTAGGAAAAAGGAATTGAATAGATGTGTTCAGGACCATCTGGAGAAGTGATAATATTAGAAAAATGGGGTATGCTGGCTTTTCCTCTGAACCAATTTGATTTAGAATCCTTATGGGGGAAGAAAATGTGAGAACTCTGTAAATCTCAGCAGTTACATAGAAATTATCCTTAAGAAACATTTACTCAGAAATACTTTTGTCTTCTTTAAATATATGTAATATAGCTAAATGGTAAAATCCTTCTTTTAAAAAGTGGTCCATGCATAAATGTTTATTTCTTCTACAAAACTAGTCAAATTTCACTTTTCTCATGAAATACAGGAAAATCATATAATCTTCCATTTGGGATATGTGATACAATGAAGTCTTCAGAAAAACCTGCATGAATCACAAGAAAATAATTAGGGTTTGGGTTTTAAACAAATGACAAATATTCCATCATCCAATGTAAGGGGCTATTCCAGGACACTATGTGCTTCAGTTTTGGTAGAAATCAAAGACACATGCAAGTCTCAATGTGATGGTGATCCTGTGAATCCAAAGGTTAAATCAATGATTTTAACCTTAACTTCATAGGAAGGACTTAGTAAATAGCACTTTAAAAAGTGGTAGGCCTTCTGAAAGCTTTCTTTTTTCTATTTTCTAAAGTTGTTTTTTTTTTTTTTCAGAGTCAAGGTATTATTATAAGAATGAGGTTATCAATTAAATAAAAATTCTCATATGTATATGTGTGACAAGAGAAGATCATTTTATTTAGTTAAAATTTCTGAGGTAAAATTTGCAAAAGTTCTTTACCTTTTGTTCAATAAATTACAATTAGTTCAAAAATTAATTAATATGAATGATTTTCTAATTAAACTTCTTGTCTTTCCTTTAAGATTTTCTTTACTTTCACCAGAGCAGTATTTGTGTGTGTGTGTGTGTGTGTGTATATACCAATACATTTATGTGTACACATAGGTATACATATACCATATATTTCAATACATAGGAAATATAACTTCATTTTATGATTTTATAATTCAGAAAATAACTTCATTTTATAATTGTGAAAATAACCTCAGCAATCTACAAGTTCTGAATCACAATACAATTCTTCGTAAATTGTTGGTTTAAAATGACATTGATATTTTAAATTATATATATGTGTGTGTGTATATATATTATATATATACATATATATATATAAATAATAGAGTGGGTGTTGTCTTTTGTGTCCCATGAAAAGTTTTCATGGATGTCCTGAACATTCACATAATAGTATAAGATAGGGCTAGTCTTACCCTAAAAATCTGCTCACAGCTAAAATGGAATGTTTTTAGGAAACATATGTGGGAGTTGTGGGGGGAAGACATACCCACACACTCACACACATACATACACACATGCATAGAGCAAAGAAGTTATCAATTATTTGCAATGACTTTTCTCAAATACTCACTGTATATTTGTCACCAGGACTTTGGATGACCTTTTCTTCTCAAATTCTATTAACCTTATAAATCATGTTTTGATGCTGAAATCTTGAATTTAAACACACTGAAAACTAGAACTTTTTATTCATCTATTCAACAAGTATACCCTGGCAAATAATGTAAAATGAACATAAAATAAAACACTTAGTCACACATCTTGTGATTCAATGCTGGTCAGATCAGATGAGGGCTTGTAAAAATCTCCAATTTGTGGATTCTCTGCTTAAAGCTGACAACCAGATTGACCTTTGAAAGAATTTATACAGTGTAGACTTTAGCAATCAAGAAAATAACTGAGACCGCAAAACAAATTCATGTAAGCCTCTAACTCACCAGCTTTAATAATGATATTCAGTCACTAACAACTTAAATAAATATGAATACTGAATAGATAATTTTCCCAATTCTAACTTTTTAGGGTTTTTTTCTCTTCATGTGACTGATTTCTAGAGTTCTACTATTGTCAGTGACATGAAATACGTAGTTTACTAAAATATTAGCAAACTAAACAGATATATTGATCTGTGATATCTAATTTTCCTTTATTTTCTGATTTTAATTATTATATAAATCATGTATTATAATTTGGGGTCAATTATACTTAAATTCTATAGTAAAGATTTAATGTATTTCATGGATCTTTCAGGAATACGTTTAATTAGAGTTAATTAATATGATTGCATATGTTCCTAGTAATAAAAATTAATGTTAAATTGTTGTTATGGAGGCTATTATGCTTAATGTGAATAAATAATTGTATAGGGCATTAAATTTTCTATCATGTTTTCAGGTTTGCATTTTAAGAAACTTGCATTTTAAAGTTATCATGAATTTTAAGTTGCCTGTAAGAAATTGTGTATTTTAAATTATCCCAATTTTTCTCATTTTAACTCCAGTGACACACCTTTGTATCATAGCTCCAAAAGTCAAAATACCACACCTTCACAACTTTTGAAGAATTTCAAAATCTAAAGTCAGGATTATTTTGAATAATGTTTAATCTGATTTTTACAAAATCTTCCAAAATGACTAATAGTGATATAAATTTTGAATTGATCATTATCCAACAACTTCTATTTACAAAGTCATGATATTACAGAGTTACATATTAATCAACTAAGACATTGCTCTTGTCAAACCTTTATGAAAAAGTAATATGTGATAAATAATTCATTGCTACAAAGTTATAGAGGTAAAATCTCCAAAACTCATGACAGTATTGAAATAAGTTTTGCACTTGTAGTGAAGGTTTATTTTAAAAAGACCAGCAGTTGTAAACATACATTAGAACAAGTGTGATTCTTGGGATGACTTTTACCCCTCATGATTTCTAATGCACTATATAAAGGAATTACCATGATTTGCAGTTCTATGCTTCCACTAATAGGTGGCACTAGCAATTTGTGACAGCTCTTTCATTAATTTGGAAATGGGCAGGCTACTAGGGTAAATATGCACAGAATAAGGTGTGCAGACCAAGTTTGGAAAAATTGGCATAATAGTCATGAAATTTAACATTCACAAAACAGAAGAATTACTTAAAATGAAATTTGCTAAAGATATTGATGTGCTCTTTGCATGCATTTATTGGTACATTTTGATCCTGAAAAACTAAATATTTCTAAGTAAAAAGCAAATACATACATTTAAACTTAAATAAGGCTTGATATGTGAAATTAATCTGTAAAATGTAAAACAAAATAGTGAATGAAACAATGGTACTAAACAATTAGAATGATGGAAGCAGAGATTCATGTGCCTGTATATATTAAGTATCACATATTATATGATGTGTGCTTACCAAGAATGAAGTAGCCTGCCTGTGGCACATTATTACAGCCATTTATAGTTGGAGAGTAGGTAGTTGAAAAAGTAAAATAATGTTAAGAAAATGGCATTTGGTATATTTTTAAAAGACTGACTCCTTTTAATCTGTAGGTTCTTTAACACTGTTATCTTAATTAAGCATATAGAAGAATCAATAAATTCTATCTGACACAAATAAGTATGAATGTCTCCAGCTACTATCTCCCACTATTGCCAAGACATAAACATCAGTATAAATAGGCAATCCACACACTATTTCCAAACAGTAACAAAGCTGGAGTCTGTCAAACCCAGGATAAGGAAATATACAATTTATACTTGAATTGGGGAATGAAGATAAGCAAAAATAAAATCCTGTTGATAAATATGAAGAATAGTTTGGTCTTGGGAGTTTTTACAAGCTTAGGGTAAAATTTAAAGGAACCACACATTTTAAGGAATCTTGTCATCTCCTGAATGAGTCATTAAACCTGCATTTCCAGGTTTCCCTTGCTTGGAGAAATGTGGCGTGGGAAACTATGTTGACCAAAACTTAGAGTAACTTAAAGCGTTGCAGCAATCATAAACATGTCTTTAGATAAAATATAACATGACCCACTGGAGTCTTCATCAGCAAGCCAAATGAAGTTTCATTCTATTGAATATGTCAATTGACTCATTTAGTCTGTGAAACTGCTTATGTGAATCATCTTGTGCCAGATTCTGAGTTTCTAAAGGCTGGGTATGTAGTATTTTTCATCTTTATATTCTCAATGGCTAGCACAGAATTATTCATTGTTGAATGATTTTGTGCTTTATTTGGCACACCTTTTAAAAATTAACAAATAATATGCCTGTTAATAAAACAAAATTATTTTTGGAAATAATAAGAATGAAAATTTACAATAAATCAATTCATTATAAATGAATTGTGCATTATAATATATAGTAGAGAAAGTGAGTTTAGTGTTAGGTGCTAGGGCAGGAAGATATCAGTCAAGGCATTTAAGAGTGCACAAAGGATTGTGAGAGTAATACTATCTCCATAAACAGTATCTCCTTCTGAACCACACCTATTCCAGAACTGAATCAGAAAATATCCAGGTCATATTTGTTAGTCTGCAGCTAAGAGATAGGAAACATACAATAAATATGTTGGAAGGCTCTAGGAATCAGGAACCAGGCTGAGGAATTATTGCATTCCTTTGGACAAAAACCCAGATTTTCCTTGTCCTCTTATCAGGTCACAGTATATACAGCCAGAAAAGAAAGTGAGGTTTCTACTCTAAAACCAAGTAGTAGCTAAAGATAAGTGAAAGTATCCCATTCTCAGTCTTATTGTATCTGAATGTTTGTGAAGATCAAATCAGTTCTACCAAATGAAGTTGTAAGTGTAATCCTTGAGTAATTTCAATTGGTTCTTTTTCATTGTCCATACTTTTAGGAGAATCCAGACTTGGCTCTCTGACAGCTTGCTGAGATTTAGCAGTTCAGAGCCTTTCTTGCTTCCCCTCCTACACTTGTCAAGAGCAACACTTGCTCATTGCTCCCTAAGCTACATCTCCAAGTCATCCTTTTTCTTCCCTTGCCCTTGAGTTCCACAGCCTCAGAGTATGATCCACTTCCATCCTCAGACTTACTCAAGAGAGTAGATGTGATAGGAAATACCATGGGAATATTTGCTAAAGTGTGAACATGAAAAATATATGTTGAATTCTTTGTTTAAGATACTGATTGAGAGGGTGGGAGAGGATAGTAGGCTAATTTCCTTAGGCCACTTATATATAGATCTATAGATTGGTATTTAGAATAAAATGAACTTACAATGTTCGTTGGAAAATTCTTTTTTTTTTTTTAAATATGTAGTTATTGTGACATGGTAGAAATATTGCCAGGAAAGGACAATGGGACAACTACTAGCAGCATTGTTATTATGTACAAATCATAGTTATTAAGTGGTATTGAAAAATGATTGTGTAATCCAAGTGTAATCCAAACTCTTAGAAATGTATTTGGGCATAGCTAAAACAAAGTTGTTTACACCTGAGGTCAAATCAAGCTGTCAAAGTGCTTATGAATCTTCATAATATGGGTCAGAAATTTTGTTTTCTTTTAACCTTCAACTTTGAATTTCAAGAGAATAAATGCTGTTCCGTTGTTATTATCCCTTAAGAACTAGCTTAAATGAAAGTACGTTTTCATAAGTTCTGCAAACTTTATTTACAAAAGCACCATTATTAACTATTTCTTACTTGCGTTCTATGTATAAAATAGACACATAAAGCCACATAACTCATCTGTCAGATTTCTTTATGAATAGATTCTTGGATAAATAAAGTGAATATTGTAGAATTTTTGAGAAAGGTGATGTCACATCTACCTAAAGATTTTAGGGTGGCTTTTTAAACTAGGACCCAAAGAAGGTGGGCCTTGAATGATAGGACAAATATGAGAAGGTAAAAGTAGAGAAGAGTGGTGACTACTGTATCAGAAACTATTTCTTTGGATTTGATTTTCTTTTTAGGAAAACAGCAATATATTTAGAATAATTTATATGACTTAGAGCTGCAGCATAGCAGGCTAGGAACTTCATAGAGTAGAGTTGATACGTGGTTGTCTATATTTGACTGACAGTGAGATCAGGAGGGACAAGTGACACCTACTTGTGAGGACCTTCTAGAGTGGTCAGTCAGTTGGGCTTCTCTATTTCTTTTTTGGAATTTATCTACAAAATACAGAAGCAGGGTTATTTCTTACCAAAGGAAAAAAGAAAAGGACGTTGATTTTGGTTATCTGATGTAGAAAACACTTTTATTATCAGTTTTTAAAACTATAACATAAAATGATTTATAATGATGGTTTCTTCATGTTTTTAGAATTAACTCATTATTTCTTTCCTTTTTTTTTTTTTTTTTTTTTCCTGCCAGAGTTTCTCTCTTGTCACCCAGGCTGGAGTGCAATGGCGTGATCTCTGCTCACTGTAACCTCCACCTCCCAGGTTTAAGTGATTCTCTTGCCTCAGACTCCTGAGTAGCTGGGATTATGGGCATGTATCACCATGCCTGGCTAATTTTTTATTTTTTTTATTTTTTAAATTTTTTTAGTAGAGATGGTGTTTCACTATGTTGTCCAGGCTGGTCTCGAACTCCTGACCTCAGATGATCTGCCCACCTTGGCCTCCCAAAGTGCTGGGATTACAGGCATGAGTCACCACACCCACACCCAGCCCCTTATTATTTCTTTAATTCAACAGCAAGTTGTGAATAAAGTCTTCACAACAAGTCTGGAAATATTTGATAATATATATTAGACAACGTTGTAGGTTCATGGTACCCGGCAACACAGAAAAAAGTCACTTCTGGAATTTTGTTCAAAATGGTATAATTCCTTGTACTTTGAAGAATTGTATATAGATAAAGAAATACATAAATTCATGGGTTTATATTTAGTATGTGTGTGTTGTGTATATCCACAATACTCAAGTACAAGAAAAGTCATATACCGTTATTTTTCTAATTTTTTTACATTTAATTGGGAATTACTGAAATTAAAACACCAGTTATTAGAGCACAAGAATAAAGGATTTGGACACAGGTCTTGAGAGACAGTCTCTCCCTTTGCTTTGTGTCAGGTCTTAAGCAGTTCATGATTGGCTGTGATCTGTCATTTGTGGTTGACCTTCCCAGGGCACGTTCCATTGTTCAATGTTGCTGTCTAACCAAGTTCTCTGCTCTCTTCTGGGCACTGGTACTTTAAAAAGTTACCAAGAGTCTCCTTTCTGCCACCCTTCCACTAAGCCTCCTCATTATATTGGCTCTGGACCTTAGTACTTGTCTTGCCTCTAAAGGCATGCACGTAATGTTTCTATTCTGTTTCTTCAAGCTCCAGAGTGAAAGTTATGCTGGGTGCAGGGTCTGATCAGCACACAGATTCCCCCAATATAATTGCCTTCTATCTTTCCAGGTTTGAAGTATATTGCAAAAAAAAAAAGGATTTCTCCCCTTACCCATACCCCCACCTTTTTACCTGGTAGTACTTCAGTCTATATCTTTTGACTTCTCCAAATAAATCTCATTTAATGCTATCCTTTCAAAAACAAAATCCTGTTAATTCTCGTTTTGGGATATGGGAAAACTTTCCAACCCTCAAAAATGAAACCTTTTGTTTTTAGCAGATCAATCTCAAGCTAGGCTCTCCCGCACTGGCCCAGAGCTACAGAGTTTCTTACTTTCACCACATGATCCCCGTGTTCAATAGAGTCTCAGACTTCTTTTACTTCCCAAGGTGCCTAGTCAGTACAGGATTACGGTTTCCTTTGCACATTCTAATATACAGACATCTTTTCTGTCATTTAAGCCCTTCTTCCAGACAACTATTTAAGATCTAACATAACAAAATGAGACTAAATGATTTTTTTAAAAAAAACGTTCTGACGCCTGTGAAATTACTTAGCAAGGCAGATCAATGTCTGCTTTGCCCATTTGTGGTTCATCAGACCTAAATTAATACTTATCTGACTGGCCTTTCTCTTTAGCTGTCAAGTAGGGAAAAACTATCTCCTCTGTGACAATACTTCTGTTCACAACTATATAAACATCAGCACATTGATACTGAGAGAATCTGTTTAGTCTATTTTAAGCAGATTCCATGTAAGGAAGTGAAATTAGTAATGGTATAGTAATTTATTTCTTTCATACAAATCTCAGTCTATAATACTGAGCTGTATCACACATAACACACACTATGGACACTTTCACAGAAATGAATGCTCTTTTGTTCATATCATACCATGTATTTTATACCATTTAGTGTTCTTTATAGAAGGAGATCATGGCTGAATGTCTCTATTGTGCCAGAGTTATTGCGTTTTTATATTTCCAAAAAGGTAAAATTTTACTTTCTTGGAATGTGCAAAATGATAGCATATATTAAATTTAAAAATATATTTGATAATATGCATTATTATTACTTATTATTGAATGATAGGTCATACTCTGCTCATAGTATCCAAGTACCTACTTGTTGGCCTATTGAAAATTCATTTAGGTCTGATGAAGCACAAGTGGGCAAAGCAGACACTGATCTGCCTTGCTAAGTCATTTCACAGGTGTCAGAAAGTATTTTTTCATATATTCAATTTAAAATTTCATATATTCAGATTAAAAATATATTTGATAATATGCATTGTTATTACTTATTATTGAATGATAGGTCATACTCTGCTTATAGTATCCAAGTACCTACTTGTTGGCCTATTGAAAATTAATGGAGTTTTCATACATAGCTACTCATAGCTACTGAAAAAAAAATTTCACAAGGACAAGAGGAACATTCTAGTGACAAAAACATTGAATAGGCTCTGACGCTTTCTAGGTGTGAGGACTGCAGCATGGTATTTTATTTTTCAGCTTCAGTTTCCTCTTCCTTAATATGGGTAGAATAGCTACCACTCAGAAGCTGTTATAGAGACAATGTAAATACAGGTGTAAAGTGCCCAACCAGTGCTTGATACATAGAAGATATTCAATAACTATTAATTCCTTGAGGCAGATTAGTAATGCCTAGGTTTTGGATTACAGTGCTTTGCTCCCTCATAGTGGTTTACTTGTGTGTATTCTCTAGCTTTTACTTGCTTTGGAGATTATATTAAAAGTAATAATGAAAGCTAATTGACAACTATTTTATGTGTAGTGTGTGTCTTTCAAAGAAATGTAGCGTAATAGCATGAATGTCTTAAAACATGAAATTTGTCAATATCTGCTAGTCAATGAAGATATGAGGAGGCTTTGTAAAACGGTAATGTTTCAAGTAAACAACTGATGAAAAAAATGAACCTAACTTTAGGTTTTTCAGTCTTTCACCTTCATTTAGGTGAAGCTAAATGTCTTAACTGTAGACCTGTTGCTTAACACAGTTTTAAGTGTGTTAAGCATAAATTCAAGGTAATTTGTGTAATTGTTTTAAGTGTAATTTCATTGGAATCACATGAGTGTGTACATGAAGTTAATGTGAGGATGAAAGGAGACCTGATTATTAGTTCTTCTGGATCTGAGTACTTACTGAGACAGGCTGAGCAAGGAAGCACCTGTTTCTTCAGGAAAGGATTGGCTGCATCTCAGACTGTAAGTTCCAATTTATGTTCTCAACATGAACTAAAGTCAGTCATTTAATATTCAGTAAAAATAACCAGGAAATGACTAGTTTTATTTGCTTCTGTACTTACAACATATCCTCTAAAATGGCGTAATGGTTGCCTTGAATATTATTTTGTTATGACTTGGTCCATGAAGACACAACATCCTTCATGACAACTTAAGGAGTATTGAATCCACATAGGGATTAACACAATATTTCTATTTAATATGTCTCTGAGTCTGAATGAAACCTCGTAGATATAAAGTCTGAGTCTAGCTGACTAATTCCGTGAACCACCTGTGATCGCAAATAACCCATTTGCAGGAAAGAGGATATTCAGTCACTCAAGAAAATAAACCTGCAGTCTGAATCTAGTAAATAGAATGAAGAACATGTTGAGAGCAACTTAAAGGGGCTTTTGTCTAACAGAAGACACTTGGAAGCCAGACTGAGAAATCTAGACGTCATTAGAAAAGGAGGTGACACTAACCACAGTCAGATTTTATAGAGTTTTTCTGGAAGACAGAATTCTTTTGGAAAACACTTATGCACCAAGCTGACTAAGTTTCTGAGGTACTCTAGACCAAGAAGAATTTTATTTCATTGTGGCTTTAGCTGTACTACAATGCTCATAAACTATTTTACCTTATGCCAGACATGTGGAAGCAATCAGTATATGTAAATGATATGTGAAGGTGAGGTATAGTTTTAGCTTAAAAACTGAGACTGTCTGCGGTTATAAATTATAACCACATCACAAAGAACAACTTTTTAAAAATAGCAACTTAAATGTAAAAATAATCAGTGATGAATTTGTAAAACTACTAGTGTTTTCTTAGTAAAGTCCAATAAATGTAAATTACAGTTCTACAACCTCAGCCTTTGTGCTGTTACATTATTTTTAGGATACAATATTAAAAGGCAAATTTTTTTCCTTAAGTAATTGTTAAAATGTAAGTAGCTGTAGTTAGACATAATTACGTCAGTCTATCTCTGAAAAACTACTTTTGCCAAGAGTAGCATTTTAGACTGACTACAGCTAACTTTTATCTTTTAAAAAAATCCCCTTCTTTTTCTTTTAGCATGATATCAATTTTTTCCTGTTATATAGTCTTTCTACTCATGTATATGTGTGTTATATATATATATATATATATTTGTAACATTATATAAAGTTTGACCATGTAAACCTGAATCAAATCTCCTTGAAAAGGAAATAGATATAATAAAAATAAATGATAAAATATTTTTATCATATGCTATATGTAAACCCAGATATTAAAACAACGCAAATTCAAAGTACTGTTACTAGACAACATACACACATATACAAAATTTGAGGAGGGAAAGAAAAGGGGGCAAAAGAAAGAAATCACTGGCAGATATTTAACCATTACCTTATCAACTTTTCAATGGAAGAAAAAGCATAAGTTCATATTTTGTTAGACTGAAATCAAGTGTATTGTACTCCCAATTTTTTAATAAAAACTAGAAATAAAATTTTGCTTATTTTAATGTATTTACTTAAGGGAACCAATAAGTGAATCATTATAATGAATATCTAAATAAAACTGACAATATTTCAAGAAAGGAAATAGCCTCCACATCTTGAGTCAACATGCATCCTTCATTTAGTAAGCCAGGACCTGTAAGAAACTGGGACAAAAATAAAAGACAGTCTTTGTGCAGACAGACCTTCAATCTTCAATATAGCTTGGATTACTTAGGATTTAGTGTATCATCAGGTTAATTTATTTTTCTTTATTTTTATTTTTATTTTTTATTATTTGAGATGACGTCTCGCTCTGTTGCCCAGGCTGGACTGCAGTGGCACAATCTTGGCTCACTGCAACTTCAGCCTCCCGGGTTCAAGTGATTCTCCTGCCTCAGCCTCCCAAGTAGCTGGGATTATTAGCGTGTGCCACCGCACCCAGCTAATTTTTGTATTTTTAGTAGAGATGGAGTTTTACCATGTTGGCCAGGTTGGTCTCAAACTTCTGACCTCAGTTGATCCACCTGCCTCGGCCTCCCAAAGTGCTGGGATTACTGGCATAAGCCTCCACACCCAGCCTCGTCAGGTTAATTTTTTAAAAAATACAAAATTTTCAAAAATAGAATTAATTCTATGTTCTGCTAGATAAATGCCAATTGCCATTTGGAGTTCATTTCATGCAGCAATGGTAGAGGGAAGGAAGGTGAAAGAGAATGACCAGGAATAGAACAGCTAAGCAGGCCGGGCACGGTGGCTCATGCCTGTAATCCCAGGACTTTGGGAGGCCGAGGTGGGCGGATCACCTGAGGTCGGGAGTTAGAGACCAGCCTGACCAATATGGAGAAACCCTGTCTCTACTAAAAATACAAAATCAGCCGGGCATGGTGGCACATGCCTGTAATCCCAGCTACTAGGGAGGCTGAGGCAGGAGAATCGCTTGAACCCGGGAGGTGGAGGTTGTGGTGAGCCGAGATCGCGCCACAACAAGAGCGAAATTCAGTCTCAAAAAAAAAAAAAAAAAGAACAGTCAAGCAGAGATGCATTGACTAAACATACTAGATATGAAAGTTGCCAGAAGAGAGAAAACTCAAATATGTGAGTGTTTGTATGTTGTTGTTGTTACAATTTGGTATAGGGGTCCGGGGTAACTCTGATTACTCTTGATGTTTGTCTTCATAATATTACACTCTTGCTTCTATACTTATTGTTCTCTTTCTCATCTAGAAAATGTTCTTTTAAAACTTTTAAATCAATTTCAAATGAACAGAGATGTATTAAGTATGATTGTGCAGCAATCATTGTAATAATACTAGGAGTAGAAAGAAACATAGGATTAGCCTCTGTTCTCAAGACCTCACAACATAGTGCTGGAGAAAATACACCACACAATGACAAAGCAAATTGGTCTATCATTCAGATGTAAAACAAATGCTATAAAGTTCAGAGGTGACAATGACTTGTTAATTATTCTATGATATGCTATTGAGTATGAGGAAAATATGTTTTACAGGTAGAGAACATTAAACTGAACCTATATAGATGAGAAAAGTTTTGCAAGAAAAAAATGGAGAATGGCTTTCTAGTAGAAGCACACTGTCTGGAGACTTGAGGCATTAATGTATGCTGTGTATCTGAGAAACAACAAATTAATTTAACCTCATACGGAATGGAGTGGCAGATAATAAGACAATGGGAGCCAATTTTGAAAATCCAAGTATGTCAGTGATCAGAGACTGTGTAATCTTTGATCGTTCTTCTAATAAGTACTAATAGTCAAGGTAGTGCAATATTAATTATGGGATATGTATAGGTAAGTACGATATGTTCTGCACCAAAGAACTTATGTTCAATGGGAAAGGTAGGCAAGTATGTCAAAACACACTTTATGGGGAAAATGTGTGATATATACCAATAAAGAACTGTGAGTGTTGAGAAAATTTGATATCACAGTGGGTCAAGAAGTCAGGAAAGTCTTTATGTGAAAAGAAATATTTGAAGTAGGAATCAAAGAACCGTTTGGCAGGCATGGAGGGGTGGGAAAGAATGGAGAACATTCTAGCTGAAGGAAGTAGAATGAATGAAAAGCAAGAGAGAAAGTGTCACCAGCATCTGATTAAATGTTCAGTATTTTAGTTTGCTAAGACATTTGTAAGAAAATTGTATCAAATAAGTTCAGGGACTAATTGAATAACCATGGGCAAGTAACTTCTATGAGCAAACAAAGGACGTCACAAAAGAGGTAGTCAGTAATTGTCTGTTGCCTCTTTCACTTAGTTTCCAATGGACATAATTAAATAATTTATAAAATTGCAATAATTATTATATTTAATTTATATATTTGGGTACATTAGCAAGGCACTAAGAACTACAGTTTAGTTGTAATCAGTATAGTAATTAACAGCTTGGTTTTAGGAATCAGAGAGATTTGAGCTCAAGTCTGACACTAATTTTCTGTGTGACCTTGGACAATATAACCCACTAAACTTAATATTTATTTGTAAGATAGGGATAATAATAAAAGATCTACCTCTTTTGGATTGTTGTGTAGATTACATGAGACTTGGACAGTGCCTGTTAAAAATGTGTATGGATGAGACACAGGGAGCACTCAGCAAAGGGCTTGGCGTGGTAAAGGCTCAGTGAATATTATACATTGATAGAAAATGTAAGAATGACTCACAATATGAAGTACCAGGTCAAGCGATCAAAGTGCTGAATAGACAATAAGTGTTATAAAAAAGCAAAAGAGGCCTTATTTACAAAGGAATTAGATAAGAGCTGTGGATCGAAGGAACAAGACAAGTAAGATAACTCAAGAGTTGAGATAATAGTGTGGGCAATTAGGTAAATACACAAGCTATGTTTGGAGAGGAAAAGATAATTTGTTTGCTTTTTCCCTGCATTGTATTAACCATTCAGTTGAATAAATAATTTCATTCAGTGTGGCTACATTTGATGAATTACATAGTAATTGTTGTGTGTGACTTTCTATTATTCTCTTTGTCTTCTGAAAGGATTGATGAAGAGTGACTAAGCCAATATGTATACATTAGGAGAGAGTTGAAAGAGCAAGATGACAAGATATTCCAGTAGTTGCAGCTAACAATACAGTTGTTTAATACAATGTTATATCCAGAAGTTTATCATGACATTTAAAGGGGTGGAAGTAAATCAAATCAGAAGAGTGGAATCCAGAGAAAACAAAAGATGTTGTGAGGTGGAATTCAGGAAGAGAAACTTTCCTTAAAAATAAATCAGTTAATACTTCTGTTTCTTCTTACATCTCTCATTCATTTTAGAGAGGAAACAACTCCAACTTACAAAATTATTTATACTTTTGTAGAGGATATTTAATTGTTGGATAAAAATTACTAGGGTTTTTTTCTCAATATACTTTATAAAAAGTGAGCATAATAAATATGCATGGAACAAAACCTATAAAAAACAATTTATCATTATTACTGAATAACATGTTCCCATAATTTCATTAAGTTTCATTTATTATTGAAGTTGTGCTCAAGAATATGTAGTCTCTTTTAGCCCAGGAAAACAGAGTGTTTTACCTTGTTTAACAATAATGGACAGAGGCTGTAGGTAAAGAACAGAGGTGATAACTTTATATTATAAACACATAGGAGAATGAATGCATGGCCTACTGAGGTAAACCAAATACAAGTAACCTATGTTTATGTTGCTTTATTATAATGTGTCTTCTGATATTTGATAAATCAAAATAAACTTCATGAGCCATACCAGCTACATACAGTAAATGCTGTATCTTTTTCTCATTCTGTCTTCTGATATAACAGTTCTAAAGGCATTCCACTGGATTATGGGTTTATTCTTTCAACTATTTTTACTTAAGTGATTCTTGTAGATGCATGAGCTTTATTTGAATGAACATGCTTCATCATGTCCTTTTTACTTTTTGAAGGCATTTTCTCAACATTTTCCCTAGGTGTTCCTAATAATAGAACACTATTCCAAAAATACTGCCAAGCAACTTGACAGCACCACTAAAGTAGTCTAATTTTATGGCTCGGGGCTAGATATTGTTATGCAACAGTGGAAGAAGGCTTAGATGGTGGCATTTTTCCAGTTTCCATAGTCAGTTATCTTCACTACTGAAATTGCATGTTGCACACCCTAAACTTTCGTGCATTCTATTAGGAAAAATGACTAGACTGAATTGTTGGAAGTATTTACTTTTGTCAAAGTCATTGCTTCCACTTCACAAACTAACATTGTCAGAGTGGCTTGGAAATGTGATTGAATAGGGAATGACAGGAATTGCTCCCTGTCAGGTCCAAAAGTTGGATTAAATGCTTAAAAAATGTGTTTACATTCTTAAACACCACTCAAGTTTTAGATGTTAAACTATTCACTTGGTTTACAAATACTGATCCTTTAAACTATTATCCTTGGGATTTTTAAGCCACTGTTATAGACTCATAGGCATTAATCTGGCACCCTAGTGATGTTCCATACCATCTTTCATAAATAAATATGCTCATACATCTTAGAAGATAATGAATAATTTCTGATAGGTTTTACATCCAACTCGTGGTATGTTTTCCATTAAATACAAGGAAAATGAACCATTTGTGGGAGAAATCCCAATAGAAAACATATTTACACCCCTCTGATCTTCATTCCAGTCTGGATACTAATTTTTTGACTTGCTGGTCCTTTTCTTCAAAGTTCTTACTATTTATACTAATTGGGACCTTCACTTAAATTGCTTTGGCAATTTACAGCATACCACAGAATAGCCTCGTAATGTATATTTTGTACCATGATTTCTGTCAACTGAAATGGGAGAACTGCATCCTAAACAATTTATAAACCCCAGGAAACAAGAT
Source organism: Homo sapiens (assembly GCF_000001405.40). NCBI lineage: Eukaryota > Metazoa > Chordata > Mammalia > Primates > Hominidae > Homo > Homo sapiens. The sequence goes on along the minus strand of NC_000007.14, from coordinate 84,176,122 downwards.
TATTGTATTATTAAAAAGGGAAACCACTAAATAGACATAATTGTTCTTAAGGAAGATAAGCATTGAACATTTTAATTCAGAATTTGCATATTTAGGCCATAGTATACTAATAATTTCCCATGTCAAATAAAGTGATAGGAGTGCTGAGAAAATTTAATGCTTGTTAGTGTTGGTGGATCACTGTGACCATAAATAAAAAGTGCTATAAAACTTCAGAGCATTCTTTTGTGGGGCAAGGAAGGTTCACAGAGTCTGCTCCTGTACCTACTTCTAGACATTTAGGATTCACGTACCCAGCTTTTAATAGTACATATCTACAACTGATGTACTATTTATCAGTTTGTTTTATTCAAAATAATGGATGTGATAACAGACAGGGAAAAAAAAAGGTTGCTGTAGGTTTCCAACCATAACATTCATCATTTGTCATTTTGATAACAAAAACCATTTGTCTGTTTCATACTCTACCTTCCAGACATCCAGATGACTCTGAAAGAAGGAAATGGAACTTGTTTACAAGAAAATTCCCCTTTCCAACCCTAGAACCAGTGTCTTAAATGATACAGACTACTGATTACTACTTGCTGTATACCTCCTGGTGGTGAACCCTACAAGGGAAGCTGACACTCAGGATGCCCCATGGGACTACGTAACACAGTCAGGTGCCAGCTTGAGATCAGTCTTTCCTAATGTTCATACATAATGCATTTTGAAATAAGGTTAGCTTTAAAACAATTGTTTTTAATGTTAATTAAAAAATATAATTCGTATGTTTGTGTTACAGTAAATAATGGTGATGTTAAAAATAACATTAATAATTCCCATTTAATGGATATTCATTATTGGCCAGAATTGATTCTATGAATTTATGTAAACTATCCCATGTAATCATCATGGCAAACCCAGACAGTAGGCATTTTCTATCATTTTACAGATAAGGAAACCAAGGCTCAAAGTAGAACAAGCAGTAGGAAAAAAGCTAGAATCTCCATGTCCGTTGGACACCAAACCCCTTACTTACTTTTAATCACTGGTCTGGCTGAAGATATATGATTCCAGACAAGTGGAAGAGACTCTCGTTCAAAGGCTGCAAGAGTTCAATTACGCATACTCATTACAGTAAAAAAGAAAAAAAAGATTAAAAAATTAACAGTCAAATCACAGAGTCCTAAAAATTCTTGCTATAAATTACTGCTGTTAGATTTGAGATGCTAAACATTTTAGAAAATATTATGTTTCCAAGAATTTAACAAGAATTTTTTTTCTTTTCCTCACTTAAAACACAGAACAACACCTAAAATCTTCTGAAAAAGTGAAAGCTTTCTTCTAAGCGTATTGACTACATATAAAGATGAACAATTAGAACTACAAGAATACTAATTATAATTTATATCTTCATTTGTTCTATCTCTTTATTTAATACATGATTTGGATAAAAACTTTCATTGTTTTTGAGGTGAATGATAATGTATAGCTCTCCAGTAGTACATAATCATATACCATTACATAATTAAGTTTACTGAAATAACAAACATAGTAAATAGTAACTGTTGCAAAAGTAAATAGTTCTAGCTTCTGATTTTTGTGGATGCGTAAGTTGTTTCAGTATATAAACCATTATATTATAGACTTAATGAAAATTTTATGCAAAGCTCAAGCGAAACTTCTAAATGATTGCTGGTTGAGACTGAAATAAGGAAAAACGTCTATGCTTCACACATTTCACTATTTAAACCCTAAGTTCCTTCCTTAAATCCAAATATTACTCCAGCATTGCTGGCAACTTGGACCTGGTTCATGTAAAATTTCCAGAGTTTTTTCTTGTCCTGTACTACAGTGGTCCCCAACCTTTTTGGCACCAGGGACCCATTTCATGGAAGATAATTTGTCCACAGACTGGGATTGGCTGGTGGAGGGGAACGGTTTTGGGATGATTCAAATACATTACATTTACTGTGCACCTTTTTTTTTTCAACTCACTTGCCACTATAAAGCCTGCCACCAGATGCAGCTTATTTGTCACTTGCTACTGACTGATAGGGTTTCAATATGAGCCTGCAAGCAATTGATTTTTTATGGTCTCTGTGCAGTCACACCTCAGTGCTAATGTTAATCTTTATTAGCAACTGCTCCCCAGCGCTAGCATCACCGGCTCAGCTCCACCTCAGATCATCATGCATTAGATTTTCGTAAGGAGCATGCAACCTAGGTCCCTCACATGTGCAGTTCACAATAGGGTTCTGACTCCTGTGACAATCTAATGCCCCCGTTGATCTGACAGGAGGCAGAGCTCAGGCAGTAATGCTTGCTCTCCAGCTGCTCACTTCCTGCTGTGTGGCCCAGTTCCCAATCTGCCATGGGCTGGTACCCATCTGTGGGAGGGGGATTGGGAAGCCCTTGCTCTACCACTTGGTGTATGGCACTATGGGGTAGCTGAGTAGAAACCTTGAGTCATGCTGGGTTTCTCCATTATGTAGAAATGTATTCAGTTTCTAATCAAATACATCTTTCTAAAAAGTAAAACAACAATTTTTGTAAATTTTTTTTTTTTTTTTTTTTTTTTGAGACAGAGTTTCACTCTTACTGCCCAGGCTGGAGTGCAGTGGCGTGATCTCGGCTCACCGCAACCTCCGCCTCCCGGGTTCAACCGATTCTCCTGTCTCAGCTTCCTGAGTAGCTGAGATTAAAGGCATGCGCCACCACGCCTGGCTAATTTTTTGTATCTTTTTAGTAGAGATGGGATTTCACCGTGTGGGCCGGGCTGGTCTTGAAATCCTGATCTCAGGTGATTCACCCGCCTCGGCCTCCCAAAGTGCTGGGATTACGGACGTGAGCCACCGCGCCTGGCCAAAACTTTTAAAGATAATTCAGAGGGTTCAATAGAAGATTCTCACTATTTTTAATGATTAGGAAGGATACTTTAAAAATGATATGACAAAAGACAGGCCCACAAGAGAGAAACTTGGAGCATACATAATAAGTAAAATATTAAATAATAACTATGCTTTTACTTCAAAAAGTTATCGCTTCCTACTGTACTTTTCCTCTGAAAATATGGTCATAAAGTGTTGGCAGAAACAAAAACTTACCCTTTACCTTGTGGACAGGAACACAAGATAATGTAGAATTCTGTCATTGAATGGATTAATATTTTCCCAAAACTTTCCCAGGTACATATCTCAGAAACAAAAATCTAAGGTTAAGTTACCTGTAATAAGTCAGGAAAAGAAATTTATGTTTTTTCTAGAACTTCAATATTTTCCAAAACAAAAATAAAACAATAGATTAACTGAGAGGTTGGTAAATCATAGTCTGTGGGCTAAATCCAGCCTGCTGCCTGTTTTCAGACAGCATGCAAGCTAAGAAGAGTTTTTACACTTTTAAGTGGCTGAAAGCAGGCTGGGTGCAGTGGCCCACGCCTGTAATCCCAGCACTTTGGGAGGCCAAGGCAGGCAGATCACTAGGTCAGGAGATCGAGACCATCCTGGCTAACAGAGTGAAACCCCGTCTCTACTGAAAAAAAAATACAAAAAATGAGCCGGGCGTGGTGGCGGATGCCTGTAGTCCCAGCTACTCGGGAGGCTGAGGCAGGAGAATGGCGTGAACCCAGGAGGCGGAGCTTGAAGTGAACCTAGATAGCCCACTGCACTCCAGCCTGGGTGACAGAGCGAGACTCTGTCTCAAAAAAGAAAAAAAGAAAAGAAAAAGTGGCTGAAAGCAAAATCAAAAGAAGAATATTTTGTGACATGAAAATTATATGAAATTCAAACTTCAGTTCCATAAATAGAGCTTCAAATTTTGTCAATAAAAGATGTAGGGCAATGTTTCCCTCTTGTTATATATATGTACACAATATTTTCAATGTTGCCTCTTGACCTAGAGTGTCAAAAATATTTATTATATATATGTGGCACATGGAGTGTGCATATGGCTAACTAAATGACACTTGAAAATGACTGAGCTTTTCATTTTGCTCTTTTAGAGAGCGAAGGTCTATTTAATACTAATGACTAAAAACAGAGATGTGTAAAATGAATATATCAGTTAACTCACAAATTATAGACAAATTCTGATACAAAACCTAAAAAGAATGTGGGATTTGAAAAAAGTAGAGTGAATTCTTACTTTTGATTTTGAGGAAGCTTTCTTCTGCTACCACTTGAACTTATAAGTTAATGGTTGTCTCCCTTTTTGACCCTTGTTTGAAGCAGCCTGATATGGTTTGAATTGTTATTCTCATGACACAGCAAATGCAAAAGACATAAAATAATTATGTTTCAATTTAAGCAGAATAAAATGTAATTTTTAGTAAAAAAAGTTTAAAATATTTAGCATTAAAATAATTTGGTCCTCCCTTAATATATTTTTTTAATCAAAGCAGTTCAAGTATGAGAATTGTAATTTCTTGATTAATATTTTTACATTTACATCATCTTAGGTTTTACAAATCTTACATGAAACTACAGCTAAACTGTTTAAGATATTATTTGTAGAAACTTATATGAAAAAACATTTGAATTCATACCAATGCCTATAGAAACTTAATTTGCATATTATTCTAAATTGAGACCTTTATGTTATTATTTTGAAATTAATTTTTTAGTGATTTTTGTTTATTTGAAGGTAGAACACTCTCCAATCTTTGTCAGGGCAAAGTGTTAATCCACATATTTACAGGTAATTAACATATATACAGAAGCTTCACCTATTTCTAAGTGTTGTAAGTCCCTCAGTTTGAACACTGAAATTGCCAGTGAAGAAGTGCAAATCTTTCTCCACTCTCCAACCCAAAGAGGGAAATACAATTTATTGTTTTCATTAATCTAAGTGCACAAAGCCACCTTCCTACTTTGTATGATGTCATATTTTAACACTGGTTCATCACAACATGAAACTTAAATTTATGTTCATTTTGTTTAAAATATTATGTTGCTTCAGAAATAAGCAGTATGTGTTAATTTTGTACTCTAATTGAAATAACTATTCAGGGGATTAGAGCACCATTCTTTATAATTCAGTGTGATAGTGTATTCCATCACTGGCAGCTCAATTTCTTTCTTTCACCATCTGTTCTTTCCTTCTTTTCTCTCTGCCAAAAATCGATAGAACTCAATGAGCAAAATTGAGCTGTTCCATAACCCAACCATATTGGGATTATTTTGTTCATAATACATTGACCTAGTTCTTACACGGTCCAGTTTAATTAGGTAAGCCCTCTGTTTATAAAAATGCACACTTACTAAACTGTAAACATTAAATGAGTGTTATAAAAGCAGCCAAAATGTTATTGTTTCAACAGTCAAGATTTTAAGATGGCAACACTTGGCAAACATAAAGCCACACACTATTTCCAACTTGGAAATCCCTTTATGCAGCAAGAGCTTTTCATGAGGATCAATTGTACACATCCAATAATTAAAATTTTAAATACAAGAAAAATCTGAAAACATTCTCAGAGATTTTAATATGTAATTATCTATATAAAACAAGTTAATTACTTTATTCAAAATACCCTAAAATAATTTTCAGTTGTTGTATTCCATTTGAAAACTCTCTCCATATAAAGTTTTATGCACACATATAAACTTTATCTCATATGATTGTTACAAATGTAAATATAGTAAATAACAGATAAAATTTGCAATAGGATTTTCTAAATAAACCAAATAAAGTATTTGTTAAAGTGTAGAGTTATTAGCATAAAAAGCACCACTGAAAAAGACTCAAATCTCATTTACGAAGTCACTGCCATGTGGAATCAAGCACCTTGAGAAATTGCAGTAGCTGCACATCATATACATTTTAATTTTGTGTATTACAAAAGTAACTTTTACTTTCTAAATGAAATGTTAAGGCTTTTATAAATAAAAAGATGGGAAAAATATAAAGCAACGCGTGTTTAAAATCTTTTATCGTTACAAGATAATGAGTCATTGTAACTGAGAGCACCAGGCAGTGTTCATCTTCCATAACTTACATCAGGACTGTACTAACAAAGCTATTTTCACCTGAAGTATCATTCATCTTTGCAAACTGAAAACTGAAATTGCAGTGTGCTTGGTGACACTTAATATTTGTCATTTCCTTTCTTTTCATTTTTCTTATTAAAATTTTTACTTTTCTTGCTAGAATTCTCAGTTAATGAGGGCATGTTATTTTTAAATAAATATAGACTAGGAGTTTCGGGTTTTAATATTTGTTAAGTATGAAGCTATTTAATGAGGAGAGTAATATCCTTTCTGCTAAACAACCTTGAAGATTTATGCAAAGGAATTGTTACCAGTTATGGTCATTTGTAACAAATAGTGTCTTATTTTTTAAATTGACTTTATCATGTGCCTTAATAAGTTAATCTCATTGCAATTTGTAATTGCATTATTTAATCTTACTTCCAAACAAGGCATCATTCTTTTTGTGATTGATTAATTGTAGACTATCTATGGTGATCTAACAACAAAGAAATGGTATTTGGTTTTTTAAAGCCAAGAAGAAACTTCTGGAAAAATTATTCCATCTTAATATTATGAATCTACGTTTCAATATCTGAACAATAGAAATGATATAATTATTATTATATATAGTATTATATAATAATTTATATGGAAATACAGTGAACTTATTGTAATTAATTTAAAAATCCTTCACTACTACTTATATATTGCTTCAGTAAACAAAACTTATAGTGAAGAGCATTTATTTAAATACATAAATGATTATCTACACTATTCAAATTTTACAATAGTATGTTATATTACATTAGACATCCTATAAGTGAATATATTAATTTTATTAATTATGAAATTTTAACTTAGGCTTTCACTCTTGAATACTTGTGGGAGAGATAGGTTTATGGCCCATTCATTTTAGGTTTTTAAAACATTTGATCATATTCATTATTTTCATAAATAATAAAGAAGCTCTTTTTTGGGAAATGTTTTTATTAAATAGAAATAGAAATATTTATAATTTACAATAGACATGTTATTTTCATCACAGTGATTAATATATTTGGGGACAATATAGAATTTGAAACACTTGGTATGCATTAAAATCATCTGGTGAGATTGTTAAAAAATAAAATACTGGCTCCTGACCTCAACTCAGGATCAATTATATTAGCCTCAACATTTTTTAAGCATGTCAGGTGACATTAATGTATGTTCACTGTTCTAGTATTATATAATTCAATACAAACTTGAACCCTCAAGAACATAAAGTTATATGAGATACAAGTAGAAAAGAAATTTAAACTATTATCTGATAAATTTAGATACTGAAGATAATTGTAAAAGTTTACATTAAAATATTAATGCAAATAAAAAAACCTCATATGTTCTGAACTGGTAGGTATTATGTGAGGTGTCAGTTAGTTCTCATCAGATTCTGAAATAATATGCCTTTCTAGTAATCATCTAATTTGCTTATAAAATGGCATAAATTGATTAAAATAAAGTATAATTTTCATAACTAGATAGGCATCATTTATTTCTCTCTAGGTTGAATAAAACATGCTATTTTAATTTGGAAAATACGTCGATTTCTACTGCCAGTTATATTTGTAGAAGTTATCTTCCTTTTAGTAATTCTGTGTATATTTGTAATATTACTGCTATTTTTATTTAATGAAACAACCAACATTACAGAAACCTAGCTGTTTTTCATGTAAAAAGACCTATATATATTTATCTTTTGGCAAATCCAAATATTAAAGTGTTAGAAGTTAAAACAATAGAAAATAAATTGTTATCTCAGCATGTGGGCTGCAAACAGAACAAAAGAGTTTATTAACGCATCATAAATTTAAAAAGTTTAAAGAGGGAGACTATACCCATTAATTTAGTTTGATTTTTGCAGAAATCATGAGAATATAGGAAATAACAACCCAAGAGGCACATTATTTTGTCTTGCTACCTCTTTGTTTATTTTTCATTGTCCTTTTTCAGAAGCAGTGTTTTGTAATTGAGTATCAGCCTGAAACATGGAATTCCAGAATATTATTTCACTTGCGTATAAATTATCTTTGACCTTAAAATATGGTGCCTTATTTCTTCATAGGTAATACCTCACTTACTGAGTGAGATATGGTTTTATAATCTACAGGAATGAAAACAGTAAATATGATTAAACAAAACAGAGGAACTCTAAACAGTAATTTCTTCTAATAACTTAATTGTTGGTTTTATCTATGATCCACTTCGATACTGCCATTCATTTTTAGCTTCAAAAGATGGACATGATCATGAATCCTTTACAAAATTGAGCTATTACATCAAATTAGTCTCAATATTATGGCTCTTGTTTCTTACATTTGTATTTTAGAAGGAATAGTATGCTAACTTTTATCCTATTCTCTTGGAGTGACATTAAGCTGAACTAGAAAAATGAAGAAATTGGGAATTCTCAAACTGTGTATCTGTCTAACATAGAAAAGCCTGTACCAGATAATTATCATTTCCCTTTGTCTTATTTTATTAACACCACTTACCAATTCTTCTGCACTCTACCCCACCTCATAGTTTCTGCTTTTTGTGACGTTTATTGTCATGAGTTCTTACAATCATCTCTCTATGTGTCTGGATGTTTGCCATACTCAACTCTCTGTGTCTCTAGTATTCAAAATCCCTAAGAGATTCAATTTAATCTTTTCAGATAGGATTCAATAACAAAATGTTTCTACTACTGAAAAGAGTTATGATACCAGGCCATGTCAGAGGTATATAGAATAGAGACTGTGGCTTAGCCAGAGATAGCTAATCCATTAAATTGTGGTTGCATGATATAAAACATGGCCAGGAACTACTGTTTCTATTATTCAGAGGATGGCTGTGGCTGTGATATATTGTAAGAATTTGTATGACTTCGAGCTTTATTCAACTGCCACCTAGACATATCAACCACATGCCCCAAAGGCAGCTTGAGAACCACATGTGACCTTTCTAGGGTTCAATCCTGAAATCCTGATTAGGTCCCTTCTATTTATTTTTTCCTCTGCAATGATTCCTCTTCATCTTCTGGATAAATGTATATTTTTGCCATACATCAGTCCTACATCTTGTAGGACTGCAAAAATCTGAACTGTTTTTGCAGTATTCGTTCATTCATTCAGCAAGTATTCAACACTCACTATATGATAGACACTCTTCTAGCAAAATAGGCACAAATTTATATAGAATACATTGTCCATTATTAATTCAACATTGCTGCTACCCACCTCAGCTTCTTTTTTTTTTTTTTTTTTTTTGAGACAGAGGACAGAGTTTCACTCTGTCGTCCAGGCAGGAGTGCAGTGGTGCAATCTCGGCTCACTGCAGCCTCTGCCCTCCAAGTTCAAGCGATTCTCCTGCCTCAGCCTCCTGAGTAGCTGGGATTACAGGTGCCTGCCACCGCGCCCAGCTAATTTTTTTTTGTATTTTTAGTAGAGACGGGGTTTCACCATCTTGGCGAGGCTGATCTTGAACTCCTGACCTCGTGATCCACCCACCTTGGCCTCCCAAAGGGCTGGGATTACAGGCGTGAGCCACTGCGCCCCCCCGGCAATTTTTTTTTTTTTTTTGACGGAGTTTTGCTCTTGTTGCCCAGGCTGGAGTGAGATGGCACAATCTCGGCTCACTGCAACCTCCGCCTCCTGGGTTCAAGCAATTCTCCTGCCTTAGGCTCCCGAGTAGCTGGGATTAGAGGCATGCACCACCACGCCTGGCTAATTTTGTATTTTTAGTAGAGATGGGGTTTCACCATGTTGGCCAGGATGGTCTCGATCTCTTGACCTCCTGATCTGCCTGCCTCAGCCTCCCAAAGTGCTGGGATTACAGGTGTGAGCCACTGCGCCCGGCCTCTTTTTTTTTTTTTCCACAGGGTCCCACTCTGTCACCCAGGCTGGAGTGCAGCAGTGCAATCATTGCTAACATTATAGCCTGGACTTCCTGGGCCCAAGTGATCCTCCTACCTCAACCTCCCCAGAATCTGAGACTACAGGAGTTCGCCACCATACCCAGCTAATATTTATTTTACTTTTTCAAGAGAGAGTGTCTCTGTATGTTGTCCAATCTGGTTTCAAACTCCTGTGCTCAAGTGATACTCCTGCCTTGACCTCCCAAAGTGCTGGGATTATAGGCATGAACCACCTCACCTGGCTCTATCTCATCTTTCTTATCTTACCACTTCACACCCTCCACATTTTATATTTTCACATATTAGATATACATACTCATGTTTAGTGTAAATACAAGCTGAATTGTAAGTTGACAAGGATCTTATTAAGAAGGTATTGGTAGGCCGGGAGGGGTGGCTCACTCCTGTAATTCCAGCACTTTGGGAGGCGGAGGTGGGCAGATCACTTGAGGTCAGGAGTTCCAGACCAGGTCCATCAGCATGGTGAAACCCTGTCTCTACTAAAAATACAAAAATTAGCCGGGTATGGTGGCCCACACCTGTAATCTCAGCTACTCGGGAGGCTGAGTCAGGAGACTCACTTGTACCTAGGAGGCAGAGGTTGCAGTGAGCTGAGATCGCGACACTGCACTGCAGCCTGGGTGACAGAGTGAGACTCCGCCTCAAAAAAAGAAGGTACTGGTATATATAACCAGCTATGCTACAAGTGAACTCATGTGCCCACCATATGTAATATTTTTTTTTTCACTAGAACAGAAAAAGATTTTCTCTTCCAACATATTAAGTACTCAATAAATCTTTGCTTTTTAACTCATTGGCATCAGGTGTTACCTAAATGCCCCATATAATTACATAGTTATAATGATTTTTAATTTAGCTATTTCTAAAAATATATATTGTTGTCCAAATTTCTTTCAAAATATTAGTCTACTTTTAAGAGAGGATGAGAGAAGAGCAGCATTTCTTGATGAGATGTTGATGAGTTCTTGTCACAGCAGAGATATTTTATTTATTTATTTATTTATTTTGAGACGAGGACTCACTCTGACACCCAGGCGGGAGTGCAATGGCGCTATCACGGTTCACTCAACCTCCAACTCCCAGGCTCAAGCTGTTCTGCCACTTCAGCCTCCCAAGTAGCTGAGACTACAGGCACGTGCCACTATGCCTGGCTAATTTTTGTATTTTTTGTAGTGACGGGGTTTCGCCATGTTGCTCAGGATTGTCTTGAACACCTGAGCTCAAGGGATCCACCCACTTCGGCCTCCCAAAGTGTTGGTTTTACAGTACTTTGAGATTTTCCTAAGGTAGCGCTAGAGCATATTCTAAAATACACATGTTAATAATTTTCCTTGGTGAGCTCTTTATATAATTATATTAAAATGCAGATTCTTTGTCACCTGGGACTAATACATTGGTAATAAGGAAAGTGTTAAGAGTTAAGAACTATTTTCTGATTCATTGTTTCAGGGCATATAGAGTGTGGTACAACAGACAAGAGTATTCTTAAGCCAAGCTGTCCATGTTCTGTTCTCAAGTGATTTACTACATGCAATTTATACATAACATACATTTTCTCACTGTAAACTGGAAATAATAATAATATCTACCTCCTAGGGTATTGCTAGGACTAAATGTGTTTATATGGGTCTGCGTGGCCTATATAAACATTCCATAAGTCAAAGCAGTTGTTGCTGTTATCAGAGTATTGTCATCACAAATATACAAGATTATCCAAATATACAGTCTTATCCAATGGGATAAGATTATCCCATTATCATCCAGGGAATGATAAAGAAACATGATAAAGAAATGTTTACTCAGCCACTGAGTAGTATTTAACTACAACTTTAATTTTTCATAATTATATAAAAAATTTTGGAGACTAAAAATATCAAATTTATTCCAAAATTTGTATTGGAAACATCTTTCTATTTTAGTAACAATTTAGGATAAGTCACGGCAATGCATTTAGTGATAAATTAGTAAAGTTACAGAAAATGGTTCCCAAGATTTATTCAAGTATTTTAAAAATAATTATTTACCTTTGGTTTTATGATGAAACATATTTGGTAAAAATAGTACTGTGTGGCTGGGTGTGGTGGCCCACGTCTGTAATCCCAGAACTTTCAGAGGCCAAGGTGGGCGGATCACCTGAGGTCGGGAGTTCGAGACCAGCCTGACCAACATGGAGAAACCCTGTCTCTACTAAAAATACAAAATTAGCTGGGCGTGGTGGCACATGCCTGTAATCCCAGCTACTTGGGAGGCTGAGGCAGGAGAATCACTTGAACCCAGGAGGCGGAGGTTGCGGTGAGCCGAGATTGATCCATTGCACTCTAGCCTGGGCAGCAAGAGCAAAACTCCTTCTTAAAAAAAAAAAAAAAAAAAATAGTACTGTGTGAAATCAATTGCCATTTTCTCATTTGAATGTGATTTATCTGAAAAGCCTAAATATTGGCCAATGGAAAAAAAATGACTTAATTGGAAGCGGATCGTGAATTTACATATAAGATTTCTCCCAAATATTGGTCAACCTGAATTCATAAAATGTAGGGATATAGAAAAAATATTTATTTATACCATTTATTTTATTGTTTAACATGTAAAAATACATATAAAACAATATATCGAGGGATACTGCTTTCTTCCAATGTCATATTTTATTATATCATTTTGTTCAAGGTATTTCTATGCGTCGTTGATATCAGAATGTGCACATTATTTAAGCTGAATTTTGAGTCATCAGAGTTTATCATTTTGACTTTGCCTTTTTTGAAAATTATAGGCAGATCTACAAATATTCATATAACATAAGGACAGTTGGTTTCTTTTTTTTGGCCTCTTACTATATATTTGCTGTTACCATCTACCTTCGCTCACTATGCTGCTTTTTAAAAGTGTGTTTTAAAAAGTACACATACCTGTGTACACCCATTCACACACACATATATATCGCTTAAAATGATACATTTATACCTTTAAGTATAATTTATTGGAACTATAATATTATACAAAGCATATGAATACTGGAAAGAGCTTGGATTTTAGAATCGACAATTTTAAATCAAATTTTAGCTCTAGCAATTTATTATGTGGATTTTGACAAATTATTTTACCACTAATAGCTTACTTTTGGTTACCTATAAAATAAAAGTTAGTGGTATTTATCTTGCAGAGTACCCAGAATTTGAGTTTCTTGACTTACCAGCAATTACACTGATTAATCACTTGTGTTTTCTTGACTTTGGTATGCAATTCCTAATGCAAGATCCTAACCTCCATGTAGTAGCTCTCTCCCTAGGTACTTATCGAAGTTTCTAGAGTCTATTTCATGAAACAAATCTAATGCAGCTAGCATGAACTATTGCACAGATAATACTGTTGCTTAATTGTGCCTCTCTACTCTCCTTGGGCCTAGTAGTACTGGGTGGACATAGCTACAGCTTTGCTAAATTTTACAGAGCTTCTCAGCAAGGTATTGCTTCTAAGAACCTGAGGTGCCCAAGCTCTCTGGTTGTTTATGGGTAAGTTAACAGTAATGACTCCTTCCCAGCCTGTTCAACATTGTACAATAAAGGGAGTTGAGCTGCTACTTGTGTTTTGAAAAGTGTTTTAAGCAAATCATATCTATTTTTTTTTAAAAAAAAATTGAGGATATGAGCCAAAAGACAAATTAATACCATTGCTGTACTTAGAATCAGAGTCATCCTTCAGTTTTTATTCCTGAGAGTTGTTATGAAGTTTCTCTCTCTTGTCTCTCCCTTCCCAGGCCCTAAAGCAAATGAGGGGTCCCCAGGTCCAATTCCTGAAATTTAGCCAAGCCTGGATCCCAGGTTTGACTCTAGCTGGTCATGCTGCTTTTCTCTTCTCTCCCCACCCTTCCTCACCCTTTGCACATTTACATTTGTAAAATCCTACTATTGTGTACACACAGGATCAACTCTGCTAGCCACTCACAGAGCATAATAACATCCAATTGTTTCTGTAGTGACTCTTTTTTTATTAGAGAAAAAATAGGCCTAATAAATGGCATTTTGGAACAAATTCCAAACATACAAGAGCTTCTTTTGCACACTGATATAAAAATAAATTATCAAAACATATGCTTATCCTATTCAACAGGCACTATATGAAGCTAAATATTCTTGTCCAGTAACATTAAACTCAAAATATAAACATTTTATTTTTAGTAAATCCAATAAGACCATATGTTAAATATTGTATACTTAAGAAGGATTGGGAATTAGGGTCAGGATTAAAATTATTGCAGAGCCAAGCAGTTTTCTGATATATTGTCAGTATTGTTTTTAATAATAAGCTCATATCAAGGTGCTAGAAAAATGAAACATTAATAGTATTAAATGAACTTAAATATTAGTTTTTCTAGAATATTTTAAAAATAGAATATACTCATATCATCTCTTCTTACAGTCAGCCTCTCACATTTTGAGCATATATTTGCTTTTGTTCCTTAGTAAATACCACATGCAAATATTTTTATATATGAGTGACCCCCTCCTGTGTCTGCTCTGTACCAGTTCCAAAATTAGACCATAAAGATCTAGCAGTTCTCTCCATAAATCAAGACATTCCTACAATGTCCAAAAGCAGGGAAAGACACACTGTACAATGAAATCATTTCACACATCACTTCTAGCCACCTATTTCATGAGCTTGCCAACTACTTTTATAGTTTGGTAGTGTGAAACTCTTCTAACACTGATTTTTCTAATGTAGAAGAGCCAGGACTCCTGATGTCCCGTGAGGGTGTCAGGGATGATTTGTACTATAGACAGTGCTTTGTAGTCTAAGGATTGTGTTTTTACATGTTAATTTCTAGATTAAATTTTAAAATTCTTTTTTTTTTGAGATGGAATTTTGCTCTTGTTGCCCAAGCTGGAGTGCAATGGCGTGATCCTGGCTAACTGCAACCTCCACCTCCCGGGTTCAAGTGATTCTCCTGCCTCAGCCTCCTGAGTAGCTGGGATTACAGGAGCCCGCCACAACACCTGGCTAATTTTTGCATTATTAGTAGAGACAGGGTTTCACCGTGTTAGCCAGGATGGTCTCCATCTCCTGACCTCGTGATCAGCCCACCTCGGCCTCCCAAAGTGCTGGGATTACAGGCATGAGACACCACGCCCGGCCTAAATTTTAAAATTCTTAAATAAAAAGTATTATCCTCTTCTACTCATGCAACAACAACCTTTCATCCTAATTCTGGTGACCATGCCTGTTGAGGCTCACAGAAAGTGCAGTTGTGATAAGGGTCCTGTCTTCCTATCAATAAAGTAGAAATAATACTACCTATCCTATGGAATTATTTTATTTTATTTATTTATTTATTTTTTGAGATGGAGTTTCACTCTTGTTGCCCAGGCTGGAGTGCAATGGCGGGATCTCGGCTCACTGCAACCTCCTCCTCCCGGGTTCAAGCAATTCTCCTGCCTCAGCCTCCCAAGTACCTGGGATTACAGGCACATGCCACCACCCCCAAGTAATTTTTTTGTATTATTAGTAGAGACAGGGTTTCACCATGTTGGCCAGGCTGATCTCAGACTCCTACCTCAAGTGATCCACCTGCTTCGGCCTCCCAAAGTGCTGGGATTACAGGCATGAGCCACCGCACCTGACCCCCTATGGAATTTTTTTGTTTGTTTGTTTTTATTTATTTCTTTATCTTGAGATGGAGTCTCACTCTGTCACCCAGGCTGGAGTGCAGTGGTGCGATCTCGGCTCACTGCAACCTCCGCTTCTTGGGTCAAGTGGTTCTCCTGCCCCAGCCTCCTGAGTAGCTGGGACTACAGGCATGTGCTACTGCATCCAGCTAATTTTTGTATTTTTTTTAGAGACGGGGTTTCACCATGTTGGTCAGGCTGACTATGGAGTTATTTTAAGGTTAATATATATAAAGGGTATGATAGAACACTTGTCATAGTTTAGAACGAACTAACGATAGATAGATAGATAGATAGATAGATAGATAGATAGATAGATAGATAGATAGACAGATTGATAGTTTTTTTTAATCTCACTAAATAGTCTATAGTAAACATTTAATTACCAATATTTGGTGCAATTCTGTCAATGAGGATAAATGTGGAATCGTTATAATTCTTAAGAATATATATTCCCTCTGAGTTTTTGATACCTCAGATTTTAAGACCTCACAATTATCTCATAAGGCTTAAAATCAATCATATTTTGAGGATCAACTTATGGTATTTTTGCCTGTTTTTATTCCTTCTGGTGTGAAAACTGATGCCTTCCATCGTGTAACTCTTGTTCACACTGGTTTCAGTATTTTGTTTTGTTTTGTTTTCTGGCTTTTTAACAGCAAAATGCACAAATTATGAAACTCATATTAAGCTCATTAGAACACAATTGTTCACATCCAGTTAGCATATAAGTCATTTTCTAAAACTAATGGCAAAATTGGATCTTTCCAGTCCTCAAATTATAAGAAGCATTAATCCTGAGACTGCATCAAGAGCTAAGGGTCTAACTATTTTTTTTTATGGTTTATTCTGTGATTGAATTATAGTATCATTAAGTAGCATGCTTCACCAACTGCAAATTGCCTTAATGTTGGAAAGCTTTTCTCTACTGGTATGAAGAGGTGGTGTTCTAATTTTATTTCCCCCACAATTACTATGTTAGCTCTCTTGGAAGTAAGTCAAGGGTAGAATGACAGAGCTTTATGTAGGAGTTTTGCATCTAACTTGTTTAGCTATTTGACAGGATTTATGTGTAATATTTCCTGGAGAGAAATACATTTGTAAAGATCAGTGCTTCCAAAAACATCACTCTACTTCTTTTAAATTACTTAAAAATAAAAAGGTACGGAAAAAGATTTTTTTTTAAATTGCTGTTCTTGCAAGATGTAACAGTTAGAATGAAATGCCTCTGTAGATGTAGAAACAATCTTTTAGTATCACCATAATTGTATTAAGCACTAAAATGTGAATAATAATTTTATGAATATTTTACCTTTAAGACCTTGGTAAACAATTTAAAGTGGCTGTTCACTATGTACTATGTACAGTGGCAGATAGTTCTGAGTTTCTACAAAGAGGGGAAGGTGGACAGAATATGCAGTCCCTTTCTTTAAAAAAAAATGAAAAACGTTAAACCTTCTGAGTTAATGATAATGTGAAGTCATGAATTTATCAGGGCCAGCAAGTAACATGAAGGTTTTTTTTTTTATTTTTAATTGCCTACTACTTTCGTAGATGCCAGCTTTAAAACATGGTCTGTAAAATTTAATTTAGGGCTGAGCTGTGACCTATTATATAAATTCAGGAAATGCTTGTCATCTACAGAAACTAATATGCATTATTTTTTAAAGAAAATCTACAAATTTTCTTTGCTATTATCTTGTGGATATTTTAATGATAAAAATTCTAGAAAGAAATTAAAATTCAAGGCATCACAACAATTTGCAAGTGTCAATGTAAGAATTATTAGCAATAAAATTTTCTCAATAATTTTTAATCCAAATTTCATTTAATTAATTTCTTCTGAGCACTGACAGTGTGCCAGGCACTGTGTTAGGTACAGGCTGTGCAAGGAAGCACAAACATACATGGCACTACCCAAATGACACTTATCATCTAGTTGGGAAGAGGGGCAGTGCACAAAATTATGGGAAAAGTACGTATATAGAGTTTCATCCTATGATAAATGCTCTGAAGCAAATAAGCCCTCATAAGAAAATCTAACAGGGAGGTTTATTTTTTGTTGTCACATCAAGTAAGGCATCAATAAAGAAGTAACTGTTGGCCAGGTGTGGTGGCTCACGCCTATAATCCCAGCACTTTGGGAGGCCGAGGCAGGTGGATCACGAGGTCAGGAGTTCAAGACCAGCCTGGCCAATATGGTGAAACCCGTCACTATTAACAATACAAAAATTAGCCCGGTGTGGTGGTGTGCGCCTGTAGTCACAGATACTCAGGAGGCTGAGGTGGGAGAATCACTTGAACCTGGGAGGCGGAGGTTGCAGTGAGCCGAGATCACGCCACTGCACTCCAGCCTGGGCAACAGAGTGAGACTCCATCTCAAAAAAAAAAAAAAAAAAAAAAAAGAATTAGCTGTTAAATTAAGCATAAGCTTCAATGTAGCAAAGGGAAGAAAAGGTATAGAGGATTGGAAGATTCCAGACCCAAGTTATAGCATCAGCTAAAGACCTACGACAGAAAAGAAACTTATCTCTAAGTGTAAGGAAAGATGGAGGAATTAATTAGATACTGGCTCTATTATGGCAGGGACTTGAGGAACATTTAAATGTTGTGATTTCTATCCCACATGTAAAGGGAAACATGGTACGAAGTTTGCGCAAGGGAATTGTATGATATGACCTATGTATACGCCTGATAGTTCTGAGTGGAATACATTGAGTGCTGTAGTCAAATCACGAGGCCCATTTAGAATTCTGTTGCATGAGTCCAAGGAGAAAAGAAGAGTGTCTTCAACTAGGGCAGTAGTGGTGGCAAGTGAAAGATGTGTGTAAGATTGAGATGTATTCTAAGGATGGAGTTAACAATGACTTTCCAAATTTGGATAATTACAACGACTGGTTTTCTATCAATTCCCTCATAGTTAAAATGTTGAAGATACCTTAGTCAGAATATTAAAATCGCTTGAACTAGCCGTATGCTCCAGCACTATTTTCATATGCAAACAAAGTAGATAAGAACACAACACCCACCTTTTAATGTTTTCCCAGCAGATCTGCTCTCCAGCGTCCCCTTAACATTAAGAGATTTTAAACAGTGTTGTGGTCATCAACGATAACAACAAAACCGTGCGTGTGAATTCTCAAATTAGTACTCAAAAGACTGTGAACTCAAGGCTTTTGAGATGCCTACAGATGTTATTCATCTCTCAACAATGAAGTATGGTATTTCAAAGGATGTAGTCATTTTACAGCATGGAAAAATGGTTTAAAGCTAGTAGTTATACCTGCATTGTTGCATGTAAACACACACATTGTATTGTTATGAGAAGTTTGGAAAAGCAGAAGTACCAGTGTGAAGGAAAATTAGCAGACTTTAATACACAAAGGCATGTTAATAATCAGTATTTCTTTTACTGCCATTTAAAAGAGTGCATTTTTACTCGTGCATATATTCCAGATAATGTGAAAATTGCATAGAGCATTTAATCACTTGATCAAAATATACCAAGGTTGAAAATTACATTGCTGATTGCCAATTTTTCAGGAATTTAAAGACAAAACAAATTCTATACATGTATTTTAAATCAGTGCTGGCATGAATAATAGACATTTCAAGCATGGCCATGATATTGCAGGTGAAATGGTTAGTCACAAGTAAGAATTTGATAATAATACATTGTAAAACCAGCTCTGGGATTGATAATGTTATACAGAGTTCCTTTAACAAAAGAAATTGAAATGTTCCTGAAAGGATTAACATTTTATGGGTCAGGCTAGAGGACTTTGACTTTCGTTCAAATAAATATATAGAGAAAAAAATCGTATGGCTAAAACACACAGCTGGTAAAAAAACATAGTCTTCCCACATACATTTCATGTCTTTTTGACATGTGTATCTTCACTGTATACAGACTCGCATGCATACAAACTTTCCCACAGAAACATGCCACATACGTAGAATCGGAATGTATATTTTACAAATAATTTCTTCATACAGAATCCAGTCAGTGAATATTAAAGGAAGTGAGAAAACAATAATTTCTGGGGCCTACTCAATTATGAAACAATAATCTAAATCATTTTTTCTAATAGATTATATTGGAAATGCTAGCAAGTTGAGAATGCTATCATAGCTCTAACAATAACATTTACAAAATGTCACACTTTCAGAGGTTCATGATTAACTGTCATGGATAATATTTGAAAGATTACTTTTGTCATATAAGGTACACCAGTGGAGACTTCAAATTTGACTGAGTCTAAATAAACAAGTTGTTGTCATAGCCATAAGCAAAAAATGCTATACTTTAGTCAGATACACACCCTAAGAAGTAAGAAAGTATAAACACCATAATTTCTTTCTTTTTTTCTGATGTGTCACGTAAACACCAGTAACCTTTGATTTTAAAGGATGATATGAAAAAGGCAAAAACAAAATATGACTTGTTATAATTTACAAAATCCTAATTATAAAAAGCTGTATAGAAACTTTAAAAAATTGGAATCATTTTAACTCAGAAAAAGGGCTTTAAAGATATTCAGACATTACATCATACTTTATAAAGTTTGCTTGAAAAATATTTAGAGACAGGTATTTTATATGTGGTCAAACAGAGTCAGAGAAAGACACAGTATCTTGCCATTAGGTCTGTCATAAATCTATCATAGGGTTAAATAAAATATTCTGAGCAAAAACTGAGCTTTCTGAATCTTCTTTTACCCTACAGTTAAACTAAATATGTTTGAATCTGAAAATTATATTACTTTGATATAAATACAAGGAAAAAATTATTAACATAACTTTAAAAAAATCTCAGCAGCTCTTACCAGCAAATGGAATACATACTTTAAATTCTGTTTTACTGGAAAAGTTAGAGTAAGAAAACATTTTGACTTTAATCTTCCTTATCCTCTCCTACATGATTAGATTAAGATAATGAGTGTAAAGCAGAAACAAGTAATGCAAGCCAAGAACACTGCATTTGGTAACCACTTAAGGCAATGTTTGGCAAAAGTTGACACAATTTATAATCCAACGAACAGAAATTCCTAAAGTGGAAAAGATGGCCTATCTGAGGTCAAATGATTTTGCCAAGTTGTTTGGGAAGAAGGAAGCATACCTGCCCAAAGCACACTGACATCTCAAAATGTGGAAGCGGTGGACTAGTAAAGTATAGAGTTTGATGAAAGCTAAAATAGACGACAACTCTCCCAGAGAGTTGGAGTAATTTTTAAAAATATGAAAATTCAATGTGAGATGTGCACATTTGAGCCTAATTAAAAGAGACACTATTTTATGTGGTCCTGGATATGCTGATTCAATCATAGGCAGAATCCTGCGTCATGAAAATCTTCACGGGGAAGAGTGCTGATAGATAGGTCTTGAGTTGGAAGTATAAGGTCACTGGTTCATATCCTGAGGAGAAAACCTCGACTTAGTCCATGAAAAACAGCTGCTTTTGTAAAATGCAATATCTTGCACACAAATGGAATTAAATTAGCTACTGTCATTTTAAGGATTCCACAGCTCTCAAAGAGAGGTGGACATTTGGACCCAAGCACTTTAGACATGCTGCTTCAGCATGAAAATATAATTGGCCTCGAAATAAACCAATAACAGAAAGGCTTGACCAAAAATATATTGATATAAATATATTTTCTAAAAATATTGTCTCTTAAAACTTATAGCAAGTATAAAGTGACATGTTCTATTTTTTTTCAATTCTAGGCATATGACTGAAATTCTAGGAAACCATCCAGATTTCTTATTTAGACAATATGAATTAATAAATTCATCTGAAACAGATCTAAAATATTTATTGCACTAATGTCATCATCTGTCTTTTTTTTGTTTTTTTTTTTTGTTTTTTTTTTTCCCTGAGACTAAGTCTTGCTCTGTCGCCCAGGCTGGAGTGCAGTGGCGCGATCTTGGCTCACTGCAACCTCCACCTCCCAGGTTCAAGCGATTCTTCTGCCTCACCCTCCTGAGTAGCTGGGATTACAGGCGCCCACCACCATGCCCGGCTAATTTTTGTATTTTTAGTAGAGACGGGGTTTCAACATGTTAGTCAGGCTGGTCTCGAACTCCTGACCTTGTGATCCACTTGCCTGGGCCTTCCAAATTGCTGGGATTACAGGCGTGAGCCATCGTACCCGGCGTCATCACCTGTCTTTATGTTCTATTTACCTTAAAGAAAGAAACTTATCTGTATTGACTTTTCAAAATAATTAGCCTAAGAAATGTCTATTATTTTTAACCAATTTCCACCAAACTATTTTCCCCCAAATATTTTGGCATCCCAGCTTTACTCATAAGTTGTATTGTATTTTTAATAATCAAGGTTTATTATTAATATTACAGTATCTTTCTAAATATTCCTTGAAAATTAAGTTGCACTATATATTAAAAAATGGTTCTATCTCATACAAAGTTGAGAGACATTTGGTTTAATAAGATTTCTATAAGAAAATGTCTTGACAGCTAGACCTCCCAAAATATTTAATATATTTATTTGAAATTAATATAACGAAATATGTAGTGTTCTCCTGAATTCATTTTCTCATGGAACCCTTTATTCCATTGAACATCAAAAGGAACTAGTGTTTTATGGAACGTCTCCATAAAGGATTCATTCATTAATATGTAAGTTTGCTTTCTTCAAGCAAAGAAACGGGTGAATTGTTCTTAATATGCAAATAGTGTTATGTAAATAGGAAATATTTTTAACTTTTATTTGAACTATTCAAGATTTTATATCAACACGCTTTTCTTGTTTAATATTATGCTTAACTGTAGAGAAGTGTAATAGAAGCAAGAGTGGAAATAAAAGTCTTTATAATTAAAAGTAAATTTTATTAAAGTAACATTTTTGACCTCAAATGGTATATCTATATTAAAGGGGAAATTCATGGCAGAGTTGTTTAAATAACAAAAATACATTTAAGGAAAGATTCACCATAAAATAGTGTAAGGCTAAATTTAAGAAACTACTTAAACATAGAGATTAAAACATGCATCTTTTCATATTTTACGCTGTTTCCTTTGGGGGAAAAAATTCACCTTTTATTCTCATTTACTTGCCATCACATGATCATAAGGTAAGATTTCTAAGGTCAGTAATAACTCTGCTGCAGTGTATATTAAATCAGTGTGCATCCTTTCCTCTGAATGTTATAAGTGAACTACTGATAGTTCAAATGCTCCCTCTTTCTTTGATGTCTACAAAGATGATAACCAACTGTATGTATGTGGATGACAGGCCTCTCCTGATAGACCCTCTTTTAATTTCAAGTCTGTTGATAATTGGTACTTTTGCAACAAGAGCATTTTCAACTACCTGAATCAAGACTTTCATAGCAATATCACTTACTGGTTCTTGACAGCTAATGAAGTGGCAAAGCAGGGCTGATAAACTCCAGAGCTTATCAAAAGGAGAGTGTAGCATTTTTTAGATTCTGATTTACTAAATGAGGTGAAAGTCATTAAGATCATCAAACAAACTCAGCTATGAACTTTTAAACTAATTTCTTGATTTTTTAAAAAGTAGAAGTATTTTTAAGTGGAAGTCATTTTTCCACCTTGAGTACTTAGAAATGATAAAATAACAGTTATAATTGGGAAAAGCTAGAATTTTTTCTCAATTTTACAATTCTGCTAGTTTTTACAACTTTTTTACGTTTAAATGCAATAGCATTTAAGCTAATAAAAACAAATGCCTGCTTTACATAATTCTCTTACAGGAAATATAAAAATAAAATACATTTTTAAAATCTTGGAAATTTTATGAAAATATATTGCCACTTAGAGACACAGCCAAGTACATAATCTCAGCTTCTTCTTTTTTATTTATTTATTTTTTATTATTATACTTTAAGTTTTAGGGTACATGTGCACATTGTGCAGGTTAGTTACATACGTATACATGTGCCATGCTGGTGTGCTGCACCCACTAACTCGTCATCTAGCATTAGGTATATCTCCCAATGCTATCCCTCCCCCCTCCCCCCACCCCACAACAGTTCCCAGAGTGTGATGTTCCCCTTCCTGTGTCCATGTGATCTCATTGTTCAATTCCCACCTATGAGTGAGAATACGCGGTGTTTGGTTTTTTGTTCTTGCGACAGTTTACTGAGAATGATGATTTCCAATTTCATCCATGTCCCTACAAAGGACGTGAACTCATCATTTTTTATGGCTGCATAGTATTCCATGGTGTAT
This sequence comes from Homo sapiens, assembly GCF_000001405.40. Taxonomy (NCBI): domain Eukaryota; kingdom Metazoa; phylum Chordata; class Mammalia; order Primates; family Hominidae; genus Homo; species Homo sapiens. The sequence goes on along the minus strand of NC_000007.14, from coordinate 84,152,336 downwards.
ATGTGCCACATTTTCTTAATCCAGTCTATCATTGTTGGACATTTGGGTTGGTTCCAAGTCTTTGCTATTGTGAATAATGCCGCAATAAACATACGTGTGCATGTGTCTTTATAGCAGCATGATTTATTGTCCTTTGGGTATATACCCAGTAATGGGATGGCTGGGTCAAATGGTATTTCTAGTTCTAGATCCCTGAGGAATCGCCACACTGACTTCCACTATGGTTGAACTAGTTTACAGTCCCACCAACAGTGTAAAAGTGTTCCTATTTCTCCACATCCTCTCCAGCACCTGTTGTTTCCTGACTTTTTAATGATTGCCATTCTAACTGGTGTGAGATGGTATCTCATTGTGGTTTTGATTTGCATTTCTCTGATGGCCAGTGATGGTGAGCATTTTTTCATGTGTTTTTTGGCTGCATAAATGTCTCCTTTTGAGAAGTGTCTGTTCATGTCCTTTGCCCACTTTTTGATGGGGTTGTTTTTTTCTTGTAAATTTGTTTGAGTTCGTTGTACATTCTGGATATTAGCCCTTTGTCAGATGAGTAGGTTGCGAAAATTTTCTCCCATTTTGTAGGTTGCCTGTTCACTCTGATGGTAGTTTCTTTTGCTGTGCAGAAGCTCTTTAGTTTAATGAGATCCCATTTGTCAATTTTGTCTTTTGTTGCCTGCAGAGTGTTTTCCAACTTGGTTCCATTCTCCCCATCACTTTCAGGTACACCAATCAGACGTAGATTTGGTCTCTTCACATAGTCCCATATTTCTTGGAGGCTTTGCTCATTTCTTTTTATTCTTTTTTCTCTAAACTTCCCTTCTCGCTTCATTTCATTCATTTCATCTTCCATCGCTGATACCCTTTCTTCCAGTTGATCGCATCGGCTCCTGAGGCTTCTGCATTCTTCATGTAGTTCTCGAGCCTTGGTTTTCAGCTCCATCAGCTCCTTTAAGCACTTCTCTGTATTGGTTATTCTAGTTATACATTCTTCTAAATTTTTTTCAAAGTTTTCAATTTCTTTGCCTTTGGTTTGAATGTCCTCCCGTAGCTCAGAGTAATTTGATCGTCTGAAGCCTTCTTCTCTCAGCTCGTCAAAGTCATTCTCCATCCAGCTTAGTTCCGTTGCTGGTGAGGAGCTGCGTTCCTTTGGAGGAGGAGAGGCGCTCTGATTTTTAGAGTTTCCAGTTTTTCTGTTCTGTTTTTTCCCCATCTTTGTGGTTTTATCTACTTTTGGTCTTTGATGATGGTGATGTACAGATGGGTTTTTGGTGTGGATGTCCTTTCTGTTTGTTAGTTTTCCTTCTAACAGAAAGGACCCTCAGCTGCAGGTCTGTTGGAGTACCCTGCAGTGTGAGGTGTCAGTGTGCCCCTGCTGGGGGGTGCCTCCCAGTTAGGCTGCTCAGGGGTCAGGGGTCAGGGACCCACTTGAGGAGGCAGTCTGCCCGTTCTCAGATCTCCAGCTGCGTGCTGGGAGAACCACTGCTCTCTTCAAAGCTGTCAGACAGGGCCATTTAAGTCTGCAGAGGTTACTGCTGTCTTTTTGTTTGTCTGTGCCCTGCCCCCAGAGGTGGAGCCTACAGAGGCAGGCAGGCCTCCTTGAGCTGTGGTGGGCTCCACCCAGTTCCAGCTTCCCAGCTGCTTTGTTTACCTAATCAAGCCTGGGCAATGGCGGGCGCCCCTCCCCCATCCTCACTGCCGCCTTGCAGTTTGATCTCAGACTGCTGTGCTAGCAATCAGCGAGACTCCATAGGGTAGGACCCTCTGAGCCAGGTGCGGGATATAATCTCGTGATGCGCCGTTTTTTAAGCCCGTCGGAAAAGCACAGTATTCGGGTGGGAGTGACCCGATTCTCCAGGTGCCGTCCGTCACCCCTTTCTTTGATTAGGAAAGGGAACTCCCGGACCCCTTGCGCTTCCCGAGTGAGGCAATGCCTCGCCCTGCTTCGGCTCGCGCACAGTGTGCGCACCCACTGACCTGCGCCCACTGTCTGGCACTCCCCAGTGAGATGAACCCGGTACCTCAGATGGAAATGCAGAAATCACCCGTCTTCTGCGTCGCTCACGCTGGGAGCTGTAGACTGGAGCTGTTCCTGTTCGCCATAATCTCAGCTTCTACAGCAATTTCATGAGGCAGATGTACATAGGTAATTATTTTCGTAACAATTTATTAATTTGAGGGTAAAGTTAAAAAATAATTCCTACCAGTTACCCTCAAATAATGTTTCAATTTTAAATACATAAAACTACTTTCAACTATTCAATCCAAAACTGATTAATGACAATATTGTTACAAAGATGTGATTGACAAAGATACTCATTTTTAAACTCTTTACATGCAAAATAAATATCAGGAAAATGAAAGAATTAAGAAATCAGCAACCTTAGTAATGTTACATGACTCTTCTGGTTGCTCACATTGAACTGCCACGAAGGTTTATTAAAATTTAATAGCAATAACACTTCCCTTTCTTTCATGTGGAAAGGCAAATTTTACCCTTGTTATTCTCTGCCTTCAAACTAATGCTAGTGTCTCATTTTCAATGAATGTTGTGGCCAGCAGGGATTAAATAGGGATCATATTTCACTCTAAACAATGTTTATGACTTGTAATTTTAACATTGTTAGTAGTGTTTTGTTTTTGTTTTGCCTTTGTCAGTGGTACACAATCACGTTTTGTGATGAAGTAGAGAAGTAAGTTTAATGAGAAATTAGCTTATGCTATATTTTTGCCCAATCTATAAGAGGTAAATCTTGTTCTGAATTTGACGTTTGACATTGTGAGGATTAATGTTGTGTGTCCTGCATTGGTCTAGAAAATCTTTAGTCTATTGTCCTTTCCAACCCAGAGGTGTGCTTGATTTAATGGGTCCTGGGAGAGCAGGGATTTTCAACAAACAAGCTGGAATTTTAGCTTCATTCAAGGGAATCATGAGTTGTCCTTAAGGGTCTTAAACCAAACCTGGCTCACATAATATTTAACTTCAATCTTAGAACATTTCTAAATATGACCCAATTGTAGACAATTACATTAATAGCAAGAAACTATTTGGAAACAAAATGGAAGAATTTAATCTTTTCTCATTTGCCAATTAAGATAAAATCCTTAAGTTGCTATTTATTTTTTCTGTGCCATCAAAATAAATTCTAGAATTAATACTTTCAGATAGTTTTTGCTAAATAATTACTTGGGGAGAGCTGGATATAGGAGAACTTAATCTTGTCCAACTTATCTACATGATAATCCAATTTTTCCTTGTTTTTATTTGTATATACAGTTAACTCTTGAACAAGGTGGGGTTGGAAGAATCAACCCTTTGTGCAGTCAAAAATCCACATATAACTTTTGACTATCCAAAAACTTAACTACTAACAGCCTTCTGTTGACCAGAAACCTTACCATAACACAGTCAATTAACACATATTTTGTATGTTCTATGTACTATATACACTATATTCTTCTAATGAAGTAAGCTAGAGAAAGGAAAACACTATTAAGAAAGTTATTAGGAAGAAAAAATATTTACTCTTCAAGTGGAAGTGGATCATCACAAAGATCTTTCATCTTAGCGGCTTCTTGTCGAGTAGCTGGAGGAGGATCAGGAAGAGGAGGGATTCATCTTGCTGTGTTAGGGGTGGCAGAGGTAGAAGAAAATACAAATATAAGTGGAGGCACACAGTTTAAACCCATGTTGTTCAAGGATCAACTTAGAAAAGTTATAATATATCAATGAATTGTTATGTACAAATGTCATTAGGGTATCTGACTTCATAAACTCCAAAATGTGTCCACTCCAAAATTAAAGCACACTATTGGGGAAGACAGATTTATAGTGTGCTATCATAAATAGGACATTATTGTGACTAAGATTACAATGTACCCGGACTACGTTGTATGCTGTTCATTAGAAATTCTTTGAATTCGTTAGTTTTCAACATCATTGCTCTCCCATCTCCTTCCATCCTTCCGCACGGAGCTCTGATTCAAACAAAATCCTTTTATGGGGAAGCCTTTATAATCAAAATGTATTTATTCTAGATAAAGGTGCAGGACATAGCTAGGAATGCCATATCAATGTTCTCTACAAGCCTCTTTTAAAAAAAAAGAAAAAGAAAAGAAAAGAAAAAAGGAGCCAGGGCATGGTGCCTCATGCCTGTAATCCCAGCACTTTGGGAGGCCAAGGTGAGTGGATAACCTGAGGTCAGGGGTTCGAGACCAGCCTGGCCAACATGGCAAAACCCCGTCGCTACTAAAAAAAAAATACAAAAATTAACCAGGCATGGTGGCTCATGCCTGTAATACCAGCTACTCAGGAGGCCGAGGCATGAGAATCCCTTGAACCCAGGAGGCAGAGGTTGCAGTGAGCCAAGATCATGCTACTGCACTCCGGCCTGGGTGACAGAGTGAGACACTGTCTCAAAAACAAAAAGGAAGGAAGGAAAAAAGAGAGAGAGTGAGAGTAAGAAAAAGAGAAAAAAATAACCTCTGAGGTAAACAACTATTTTTTAAAATGACAAATTTAAATTGCATTTGCTTATAGCACCAGGCATGTTGTAAAGAATGAAGAGAGTAAAGCTAGTAAGAGCAGCATGATAAATTATGAGCTATCTAACCCATATGCACTATTGCACATTCATAAACATATCTACTTTATCCAACTATTCAGTAATTCATTTACTCATTCATTCAGTAAGTACTTACTGAGCACCTGTTGTCAGACAAATCTAGGGTTTAGGTAATTTCTGCCGCCAGCCACACAAGCCTGTCTCTCTGATCTGCTTACTTGATTGATCCTTGAGTATGTCTAAGTGATCTCCTGAGCTCTCTTTCTTCTCACTCTGGGAATGAAATATATGCTTGCCTCACATAAAAAAGGGACACCCATGAACACTGATAGGAATATGTTCTCTAGTATGTTTGCACTCATACAGATCAGTTTTTGTCAATGAATAAGGAAGACTTTTTTCCTCCCCAAAATGTATCTTGGGATGGAAGTGATAGAAATATCTTGGATAAAATACTACTTTTCTTTCTCCAAAAGCACTCATTTTGCTCAGCATTAGAACAATTTAAATAAATCATTCTTAAGTAGTTTTAAAAATGCCTCATAGTAGACATATGCAACAGGTAGTGGGTGACAAAGTGGTTTATCACTATTTATTTCTCCATATGTGAATATTTTCCACTGTTTTGTTACTGGAAAATGTAGTATATATAATTTGTAAATGTCAGAAAACATGTGCTTTCTTTTTTTAAAAAACACGTGCTTTCTTGTAGCCATGTGAAATATGGTTATTTGAAGAACACTCTGAAACATGTGCTGTGTTACAGTAAATAATTGAGCAAGACTGCCTGAAAAATTAATATTTCAACTGTATGAAACAGAGAAGCCTCCTCTTTTTCATTTTGCTAATGATAATACAATGCTTACCGCTCATAGGTATTTAATGAGCACTTATCAGTGGACTGACTGATAACAGAGACCTGCCTATAGAGGAGTCTCATAAATAATTAAAACATAAGGCAGAATCAAAAACAAAGTTTTAATTTCTAGATTACTAGCCCATCACTCAAAGCATTAAATAAAACCAATGGGAATTTTAAAAGAAGAATCTACACTTTAATTCTAAATTTTTACTGACTAATCATCTCACACAAAAACGAGTGACCGATAGCAATGCACGTTTGAATTATCCATTTTTGTCCACATTATGACATTTACTTGTTTTATGCAGTCATTACATTTAAACTCTAGTTATTCCCTCAAGAAGTAAAAATTAATATTGCTCATTAGTTATTTTGTAAATTGTTTGCAACTTTTATTTTTTGCCTATATTCTTGTGCAAAAGGCTACTATCAATATCAGGGACCAGAGAGCAAAAAAATGTGGAGAAATATTAAAGTCACAATTTTTCCAGAAAGTTATTTAGAAAGAGCATCGAATGTGGAGCCAGGAGACCTATATTTAAATCTGACCTCTGCAACTGTTAATGGCGAAGTCATGTATGCTCTTTTCTAAATGCAAGTAGTCAGACTTCAGACAGTCTAAAGATCCCTCTAGATCTTTAATTTAATGATTGATTATCTAGTTAACCATTTCCTCCACGTATAATTTGACCCATATGGCATTGTGCTAACCTTTACATCTAAGAGAACTAATGTGTGTACTCTAATACTCATGCAGAAAAGTGGCATGCAATTAATTTATGACTGTGTGTTATAATGAAAGCACAGTGAGGCATCCATCGAAGGATAGATGTCTGCTAATTCTCAAGTCTTTGATGGGAGAGATAGCTTCTAACTGTAGCTTGAAGCACAAGAAAAGGGAAAATCAACTAGAAGCAGGAGGCAGCAAGCCGGGTTTAGAAAAGAGTAAATTGTGGAAACTTACAGAAACAGGCATAAAATGAGATAGCAAAACAAGATTAGGGACTGCAAACTGCTGTTAGTGAGACAGTACTAAGGTAAAGGTGGTGGGTGTAGGTCTGTGCTTTGTTTTAATAAAAGCATTACATTTTTGAAAGGTCTTCTCATTAATTTATATGTCAGTGACTTGAAGGGTATACCAAAATTGAGAGAAATTAAATATAAAGAACAAGTTACTTCACTGTTTCAGTAGATTTTGTGTTTAATGCTGCTGGCAAAACAGAACTCTCAAGAAATTTATTCATGTGATTATTGTATGTAAAACAACCATAACAGTGCTGAGCACATAGAATGAAAAAATATTAGCCATTTAATTGTTATTTGATAGCCAGTTTATAAATAATTTAAGGTTTAAATGGTATAATTTTAATAGTCATTTGAACATAATTTATAACTTAATTAGCAAAGCTAATGTATATCCTGACATAAAATTTATATTGCTACATTTGCTTTTTCTTAGATATTTTTATATTTACTTTTTCTAAATTTTTGTTGCATTAAAAAAATAATGTGGTTCAAATTACATTTGAGTCACTTGCTTCTGTGTGTCAGTAGTAGGTATACGCCAGGAGTAGGTTCTAGGGCTAGACATACAAAAATAAGTAAAGACAGCATATTTTAACTCTAGAAGTGGAGCTAAGGAGATAAAGCAGTGATTAATCTATGTATGTACAGGGCACTATGCTTCATAAAAGAAAGCATGATGCATTGTCCCTTAGAAGGTCAAGAATTCACAGGAGAAGGCTGACTTGGGTCTTGAAAGGTGAATAAATTTACCTAAGCAGGTGAGGGTGGAAGATGGAAAGCATTGGGGAGATAAAGAGCATTCTAATCTGTGAGACTATAGATGGCATGTCATCGAGCTAATTGGAAATATTCTTGTGTGTGTATGTAAATAAAATACATATTTATATATTGCTGTATTTAGGGGTAAACACACATGCATATACACTTATGCACACTCTATTGGTGAAGGAGAAAACAAATGAGTGTGTAAAATATAAAGAGCCCAAATCTCATAGATAATGAAAATCTCTAGCCAGGTTTTAAGGAGGCAAGTGATGTAATATCTGTTCTCTTTTGATTTTGATTCACGCCTTGTTTGAATGAATTTCATTATTAAGAAGTTGTTATTGTTATAGTTTCTTGAATGTCTGCTCTATTTCCTTAAAATTCACTTGTTTGAGAATGACTGGAGATGCCTCTCTCATTTGAAAGACAAATTGCTGAGTCACAGATGTTTTCACTTGCTTATTTGTGTGAATTGCTTTTCTGTTTGGGGGCAAATAATGCTGTTTTGAACAAGTATGAGGCCCACCTGATATCTTCCCTTGTACGTGACTCAATTTTCCACATAAATTCCAAATGTATTCTTTATTTAATAAGTTCTATTAATTATTACTTCTGTAAGAGACTTTTCGATCTGTAGATTCAATCTATTTTTATGTTTTATTTCCTTATCTTTCATTTCTATTATCATATTAATGAATTCATCTCTTTCAAAAAATTAGATTTTATTATTACTTAGTTTGTAACTTTTGCAACCAGAATTAAGCCTCTATTTCTTGTGCCAACTCCTCTTCTTTCCTATGCTCTTCATTTACATTTTAGTGAACTTATTTCCTCCTTCTGACAATGAGGAAATGAGCTGGAGGAATTTGCAGCCTATGATTTTTGTTGTTTTGACTTTAAGCACACTCTGTGATCTTTAATATATTTTCTTCTGTGAACACACCTCACTTTATTTATTATTATTATTATTATTTTTTCATATCTTGACTGGTGTGATTGGTGTGTTTCTCATGAAGCCCCATCAGAAACACCCTGTGGGATAGTCTGGTATTCATACCTTTCACTTCTGCCCTCATACTAATTTACCTACAGTGATATCCTTTAGAAGAAGGATAATGCATACACAATAAATTGTGTGTGTGTGTGTGTGTGTGTGTGTGTGTGTGTGTGTGTGTGTTAGAGAGAGAGAGAGAGAGAGAGAGAGAGATTAGGACAGTACCTAGCTTGGCTTGCCCATGTTAGTTGAAATGATGATAATAATGATGATGACCATGGCTTTATGCTTTACCTATACCTCTACTTTTTCTTTTTCTTTTCTTTTTTTTTTTGACAGGGTCTCACACTGTAATCATAGCTCACAGCAAACTTGAATTCCTGGGCTCAAAACATCCTCCCTGCTCAGCCTGAAGCACGCACAGCAACTTTTTTTTTTTAAGTAGAGATGGGATCTTGCTATGTTGCAGAGGCTGGTCTGGAACTCCTGGTCTCAAGCAATCCTCCTACCTTGGCCTCCAAAAGTGCTGGGATTACAGGCTTGAGCCACTGTGTTCAGTCTGCACCTCCACTCTTTATGGACATGTTCCAATAATCTTACAGTCGTGTAGACTCCTAGAGCTTGTTTCTGTAATAAAAGCATCTATGGATGCAATCTCTATGATTTGTTAACCCTTTGCTTATTAATTCTATCCTACTTGAAATATATGGAGAGACATGCCAGATCTCAGCATTTTATATCAAAATGTTTCAAGTTTCACTATATTTGAAATATTTCCTTAATAATTTGATATTGCTTTGGTGTTACTTCTTCATTTAATATGTATATTTTCCTCTTATACTTTTCATCTTTTTTTCTTTTCATGAAAATCAAAGGAAGGGGATAGAGTACACATGGTTTTACTCTGTCATCTTTCACCAGTAGAAAGTGCATGTGTTTTGTAGAAAGTTTACTCTGGGGGCAGTATATAACATGGTTTGTTGGTGTAAACCTGGAAAGGAAGTTCTGTAAGAAGATGATTACTGTAATCCAGGAAAGACATTATGGGGAGTTAAATTAGGACAGTGGCAGTGAGTATGTAAGCAAAAGAAAATACAGGGCAAATTATTGTGTTAAGCAAAACTGTAGCGATGGATCAGATTAGTGAATGATGAAGAAGGGTCTGGCTTGCATGGGTCTGTAATGATTGATACTTACAACAAACTTAAAACACACAGAAAGTTGATGACGTCAGTAATGGAAAGAAGAAAAAGGAGTGAATTCTGTTTAAGTCATGCGGACTCTGAGATGTTTGTACAATATGTAAATAGAGGTTTCTAGTAAGTCTTTGTTTGGACTTTGGAGGGAAATATCTCTTGGAAGATATATATTTGAGACTTGTCAAAATACTGCTAGTGGTGAAAGCCATAGTTGTAGATAAGATTAGCCACCAAGTTATTACTGTGTAAAAACACCAAGTACAGAGCAAATAAAATAATATAAATATGCAAGAGCTGTTAGCTAAAGCAAATTATATGAGAGTGAGAGGTAACAAACTTTTCCAAAATCAGTTCTTAGTATTTTCCAAAATATACCCTCCTTAGAAGTGTTTACGGAGAAAAGCAGAAAGACCCAGACCTTTGATGTCAGATGGAAATAGTTATCTTAACTCTACATCATACTAGCTCTGTGACCTAGGATATTCCTGATAGCCTATCTGAGTCAATTTCCTCATGAGAAAAAAATGGGAATGAACTCCTATTAACTTCCTTAACTATAGTTAGCCTTTTTTTGTTGTTGCTGTTACAGATTTAGGTTTTGCTTCTCTAAAGGTATTTGTCTACTTTTCCATGAAGGTTTTTATTATTCTTAATACTCCACATAGTTTTTAGCCAAGGTCTACGTGTTATACATAATATGGACTAAATGTGTTTTTGTTGACTTAGTAGGTGAATGACCGTTAAGTGATAACAATCTGAATCATAAAATTAGATTATGAACAACTTACTTTACATAAATACTTTTCACATTACACAAAATGAAAAATAAATTCATATAACAGATAGTTCTGCCTTTGAAGCTTTATAAGCATATTTGAGGAAAAATATAGTGTCTCTCCCTGATAACATGGCCTAGGACACTTGTGTCTTGTGTGGGGTCTAGAAGTATGGGAGCTGGGCTTGGGCTGAGAATGAACTTTTACGAGTTGTCCAAAGCTCAAGTACATGCATCTTGTTCTTTGATTCGGTACATATACATCATGGAATACTATGCAGCCATAAAAATTGAGACCATGTCCTTTGCAGGGACATGGATGGAGTTGGAGGGCATTATCCTTAGCAAACTAATGCAGGAACAGAAAACCAAATACTGCATGTTCTCAGTTATAAGTGCGAGCTAAATGATGAGAACACATGGACACATAGAGGGGAACAATACATAGAGGGGAACAACAACCACACACAGAGAGGCTTACTGGAGGGTGGAGGGTGGGAGGAAGGGGAGAAGCAAGATATGTAACTAATAGGTACTAGGTTTAATACGTGGGTGATGAAATAATCTGTACAACCAACCCCCATGACATACGTTTACCTATGTAACAAACCTGCACATGCTACACATGTAGCCTGAACTTAAAATACAAAGAAAAGTCTATACAAGTAAAAACAATTATTCATATTAACTAAAAATAAGCATCTGGTAGGGGAGAATCCTGGCATAAATTCATGGATAGAGACATTAGAGTACAGAACATCAACAAATACAAAGGGACAAGTTGGAAGAAGAGCTTGGAAACATGTCCTAGGAAAAGGTGGTAGAGCTGTGTTTCATAGACTGCTGTGGCCTCTGGCACAGGCTGGAGAGACTAGTCAAGGTAAAAGTTAGTAACAGATCAGGATGTGTAAGCTTGATGCATATTTTAAGCAAACATTGTAGAATAAGAGAATATACTCGGCATCACCAAATAAATAAAAGCATATAGATGCCCATTGGTATTGGCCCCATCTACGCAATGACAAGATGCACTGACCAGAAATAGTAGGAGTAGAATTCATCCTCCACACAGTTACCTTAGAGCAGTACTTGCCAAACATCAGTCTGTGGAAAGGTCCTAATCTTGCGTGTAATAAAATGTTAAAAACTAGTCCTTGGTGAAATAAAGAAAATAGATTGAATTTTTCCATTATGCAAATTTATTTATCTCTGAAGATTATTCGTTGTTCATGTTTTTGCTCATTTTGATCATTTTGTTCATAAAATAAAATGGCTCCCACCCCCTTTTTTCTAATGAAATGACAATGATAGCAAATAGTCCTTGCTTTTGTTTTTTTGTTCTTATAATGCAAGAAAAAGTTGTGAACTTTCATTTCAGCCTCTATTCTGGAACTTTTTTGGTTCATGAAATTGAAAATAAAATCCAGGAAGTACTAAAATATAGGATCTAAAACTGTTGGACCTTACTGAACTTTCCAATATTTACAAATATCTAGATGTGGTCATCATTTAGCCAAAATGTTTTGGCATCATATAGACCCAGCCTTTGACTACTTCAATGGGTTCTTTGACTGTTCTATGAAAAGGACAAAGTTCAAGTCATGGAAAAAGGACATAAGCCTAAAGCCATCAATGAATACAGGCAATTCATTTGAGTCCAGCAACTGGTGGGGTCCTATTACCTTTCATGTTACCAAACTTGGAAAAAGAGAGACAGAGAAATATAACAGAAGTCAGAAATATAAAGAACAGGGTGGATATTGTCTGGATTTGAAGGTCAAATATACAGGAGTTCTTCCTCCCACTATAAAAAGTCTAGTTCTGGGCACTCTTGCAAACCAGAAATCTGTATTAATTTCATTGCCTTTTTGAGAATCTGACCCAGTCATTATAATGTAACCATCTTTGTAAATCTGTGTTCATCCTAAAGAAAATCAGAACACAACAGGAAACATACAGTCTTGGTATGTAGGGGTGAATCATCATTTATTATTTTTGTGTAAGTGTTCCCAATCCTCGTGCATGATTTTGGTGCGAGTGTCTTTTTTCTTTCCATTTAACAAAACACATGCATGAGAAGAACACTAGTTTATAAAACAACCATTAATATCTCAAATATGGAACTGATGGTGATTGCTATCAATTTCTCCCTTCAAATGCTTCTTTTTAAAAGTAAATATACATTAGAGATTATGATTACTCTTGGGGGGAAAAGTAAATATGAACATTTATAGATAAATAAATAGAATAAAAATTAAAATTGACTCATTATAAAATATGGTTTTTCTCCCACGATTAACTGGTAGCATATTAGAGATCAATTATAATTTATAATTTATTCTGTTGTAACATACTCTTAAATAGAAATCTATCAAATGGACTTTACATATAAGAATCTTGAATTTCATGAGACTCCTCTACTTTGTGAAACTACATCACAAGAGAGTACAATTTATTTATAATTGACAACACTGCTACTTGAAATTATTTAAGTTGATTTTTTCTGCCCCGCAAGCTATGCACTAAAGCTTGTCGTCTTCATTGTCTTATATAATAGTAAGAATGGTGACAATAATTAGCAGTTATTGAGCACAAACTGCATGTCTGTGTCTGGTTTTACAGTCAGTATGTTTTCCATTTTGTCATTAAGCAACTCATAAACACACTAAATCCTTTGGTGAATCTGGAGTGAACAGAATGCTTCTTTAGTCACCTTCCAAATTTAAGAATACATACTTTATTAAAGAGTGTTCTGAAATGGCATCTTTAATTACAATCCTACATTTGCTTCTCTTATAGCTCGACACAGCATGTAGAAGTTGAAGTAATCTCTCAACCAGAGAAAAACAATTACATTCAAAGAGAATTAATGCCTCTAAAAGCTTTGGCCTATTCAGATTCACCATAGTCAAATTAATTTTATAGAAACTTAGCTTGTTTTTTAAAAACAACAATTGTTGTTTAACTGAATATGAGCATAGGCAAGATGTAAGAAGGTGGAAGAATAACACACATTTCACATTACTGAATTTTACTATAGTTCCCATAGCAGTTTATGTCATTGTAAGATACATAACTGAAACGAAAGAAAGACTTAAAATTCTGAAGGAGTACATTCAAAGTTATTTAATATTGGAGGCAGCTAATTGTCTCTACATCTAGGAAAATCAAAGTCATGCATTTAACTAAGGAAAACAGAATACTGAAGAATCTGAGAACTAGATTTGGAAAAAAAAATGTGTCTGATTTTAACCCATGTTTCTATTTAATCTATTGAATAAAATTTCACCCAATTTCTATTTAATCTCACACTGGAAAGTGGTGATATAACCTAAGCAATCCAGAATTTGTATTGTTCACTGACATTAGTTTTTAAGACTCTTCTCTAAGTTATAAAGCAATATAAAAATCTCGTGTTGGAGAAGAACATCTAAAGGATTTGGAGTGAAAGGAATAATGAGACAAAATTAAGCACATTTGAAAGCAGTGGAAGACAGCTGCTAACACATATGCCAGGAAAGTATTGTCTTTTTTAAAAAATCAAACTGTTGAGAAGTAACAGTTTAAAACTGTGGTTTGTTTTCATGATGATTTCATACATAAGCCACCAAAAACTTCCGTAAGTTGTCTGTACGTAGGAAACAGTAATTCTGTCCAAACTAATTTACAGAATTCACCCTGGAACATATTTTTCAATTGGGAAAATATTTTCATTGTTTGGAACTGTGATATAGAAAGTCATTCCTTTTATTATTTAGAATTGAGAATACATAAACTGGAAAACAAGAAGGAATACTTCATTGTTCTTAAAATGCCATTACATTTAATATTAGTGTAAATCAAAGAACATACTGCTATTCTTATTTTCCCTCCACCATACAAAATTACTGATGTTTACAAGTTAGGACACTTAGTAAGATAGGTTAAAAAAAAAGAAAAAAAATATATATAGTTTTCAGTCTACTCCATCTGGACTGTAATTTGCTACATCTGGTCAAGAAGATCAACCTACAAATATTTAACTTCTACTTATACAAACAGGAAATATTTAATTGAGTGCTTACTAGGAAATGCTTGTTCTAGTATTTTTATAGGCATTATCTAATTTCACCTCAGTAACTCTTAAAAGATACATTAACTCTTAAAAGATACATTATTCATCCCATCTTCTATAAAACTTGGGACCAGGGAGTTTAAGGAACTTGTCCTAGTTTGCACATCTAAAAGATAAGTACTGTGGTGATGGCTTGTGTTCTTACTTATAACTGTATAACTCCAAAATCTGTAGCTATAGTATTTATTTTCCTACAACTTCTTCCAATTGATGCTTAGAGATCCCTTATGTAGTTTCTATGCATTTGCAATTAAAATCCATTCTTGTACCTCTTACATGGCCCTTTCATTGCTTAATATCTCTATGTAATTTTTTTGGTTTAGGCTGAGGTGGCTTTTTTTTTTTTTTTTTTTTTTAAAGTTTGGCCTCTCTGAAACTAAGGTAGAATTACAGATCTTAGAATTGGAAGTAAGGATGAAGGGTATCCATTTGATAAACAGATCTCTTTGAATGACCATTCAATCAGGGCCTGAACATATCCAGTGATACAGCCCGTGCCTCTGGCAGCAGCCCGTTTCCATCCTCACACAACTCAGAGTGCCTGAAATTTCAGACTTTTATTGACTCTGGGTAGCATAGCATTGATCATTTGTAATCTTTTGGATGCCAATGAAATGAATGCCATTTCTTTTTTTTTTTTTTTTTGAGACTGAATGTTGCTCTGTCACCCAGGCTGGAGTGCAGTGGTGCAATCTCGGCTCACTGCAACCTCTACCTCCCAGGTTCAAGCAATTCTCTTGCCTCAGCCTCCCGAGTAGCTAGGATTACAGGCACCCGCCATCAAGCCCAGCTTATTTTTTTGTATTTTTAGTAGAGACAGGGTTTCACCATGTTGGCCAGGTTGGTCTTGAACTCCTGACCTCGTGATCCACCCGCCTTGGACTACCAAAGTGCTGAGATTACAGGCATGAGCCACCGTGTCCAGCCAATAAATGCCATTTCAATTTAGATATTATGTAGTGGATTTTCTGTCCCTCCTCTCTGGAGACTAACAGCTCTCATTTATTTCAGCTGTGATTCACATGAATACAAACTCTTTTCCTTCCTTCCTTCCTTCCTTCCTTCCTTCCTTCCTTCCTTCCTTCTTCCCTCCCTCCTTCCCTCCCTCCCTTCCTTCCTCCCCTTCTTCTTTTTTTTGTGTGTGTGGAGAGTGGGGTGGGGTAGGGAGTAAGGCCAGCCTAGTATTGTACTATTTCTCATGAAGAAATGAGAAAAATATCTTTTAACAATTTGTTAACAATTTTTGTCTATAGGATAGGTAAATATATAAAAAGATAGATATTCCATTTTACATTGTTGACCAGGTAATATGAAAAAAAAATGTGAGTTAGGCATGATGAGCTATTAATTATATATTTCCGCAGGGAATGTTCATTCTGGTAGATAAGATTGCAATAATTGACAGTGGGATGCAGGTTATAAGAGTAATTCAAGCAAAATGTAACAGGAAGCTCTCTGAGAATTTCTTGGCAGTTGCATTTGAACTAGCTTTAAGCGTGGCTCTATTCTGTAGCTGTTGGAGTCAGGAAAAATAGCAACAAAGGCCAAAGAGTGAATGAGCACAGTGCATGGTTTCCCGCATGATAGAGGACATGAGAAGTACTGGGATAGGGTCTAAATTTAAATGATAGTGACCTGACCTTTAGTGCTAAGTTAAAGAGTATGAATTTTATCCTCTGTTGAAATCATATTTTTGATGATAAAATGATAAAATGAAGAGGTCAGTAGGACAAATAGATAAAGCAAGGCAATCAATCACATGGCTAATATATGTTTCCTGATGTTAATAGCTGGAACAGAGGACAGGTCTACATTGCAGCTTTCTCTCTTCGGAAGGCACATCGCATTCTACATTTTTCTGGATGCTGATGAAAATTTCCTACTAAGTGTGCACCCGAAAAATCTAAAGCACTGATTCAGGACATACAGTTTTGGAGAATCCTCAAAAATTCTATCCCATGGGGGTGGGGTGTGTGTGTGTACATGTGTGCGTGCATTGAGCAAAACATATTTTTAAGAAGCCAATAATTAATTAGCTTCCAAGCACAAAAATGGACTTATATTTAATGTTATTTTTAATCTGAAAGTGTTCCTGTCACTAAAGTATAGGTATATTGTTTAGTATTTGCCTATTCACAGCAGAAGCAAACTGGAGAGCAAAAACAAATGAAAAATTGAAGTCAGATGGTAAAATTAATTTAATTCATGTTTTCATGAAAGCCTCATCTCAGTTTCTCTCTATATATCAGCTCCAAAATGCTTGAAAGAATTTAGGCAGTACAGTGAATCATTTAATGATCAAAAAGACATATTAAAATATTTCAAATAAAAGAGGCCTCAAGGAACCTAAGAGGTTAAACCGGATGTTTCCCCCACATTCCTATTTTGTTAGGTTCTGTGCTTATCCTTCTATCTAATGGCTTGGAACAAATGAAACCACTTTTAAAAAGTTTTTGTAAAATTAAATACATTTATACACAATATTGATCAGTCTAATCCATTACTACATGCAAATAAATTCTGCCAGATCAGTGTGTATAGACAAGTTATTTCACTTCCTCTCTTCTTTAGGACTGCACCATATTAAGTATGAAACCAGCAAATAGGAATATAACTCTCATTTTAATAAAATGCAGGCCGGGCACACTGGCTCACACCTGTAATCCCAGCACCTTGGGAGGCCGAGGCAGGAGGATCACTTGAGGTCAGGAGTTCGAAGCCAGCCTGACCAACATGGAGAAACCCCATCTCTACTAAAAACACAAAAATTAGCCGGGCATAGTGGTGCATGTCTGTAATCCCAGCTACTCGGGAGGCTGAGGTGGGAGAATCGCTTGAACTCGGGAGGTTGTGGTGAACCGAGATCCCGCCATTGTACTCCAACCTGGGCAACAAGAGCAAAACTCCATCTCAAAAAAAAAAAAAAAAAGTAAAATGCACACATTTTGGTTCCAATATATTTCTTAGTACCCTGAAGAATAAGCACTGATTGATAACTACAGCAGTCAATATAGTCAGGTTACCATGTACCAACAGTCTATGCTTATATAGTGCTTCACATTAATACCCAATGTTTTGCTTTGTTACCTTGCAGAAATGTTGGAATCCAACAATGTGATCACTTTCAATGGCTTGGCCAACAGCTCCAGTTATCATACCTTCCTTTTGGATGAGGAACGGAGTAGGCTGTATGTTGGAGCAAAGGATCACATATTTTCATTCGACCTGGTTAATATCAAGGATTTTCAAAAGGTATCAGTATTCTAATATATGCACTATAGTTATTTTGAAGCATCTCAAGTTATAGATAATTCTCTAGCTATTTAAAAGCATGATTACTGACAGAAAATTGTTTTGAATTAATAGTTTGTCTTTTCTGATGCAAATAAAAATGACAGTAATGAATCAATGGATGCAATAAATCAAAAAATATCAAGGATGAAACCACAGTATTTGCAGTAATCATTATAAGAAATATGAACTTCAGCTTACCCTTTCATATCTATTTTTCCTACATAAAAGTAAATACTTGAACCATCGTAGCAATACATCATAATTGACTTCATGAACTATTTATATGTGTGTAGGTATAAATTTATATTTCTCTGTATTTCCAGAAAATGAAGAGTTCATCTATCCATTACCCACATGCCTAATTTGGCATGCTATCAGTGTTTGTAAATAAAGTTTTATTGAAACACAAGCACTCCCATTCATTGACATATTGCCTATGTCTGTTTTTGTGCTACAACAGCAGAATTCAATAGTTACAAAGGGTATCAACTGGTCTACAAAAATGATTTACTATCTGGCCTTTTAAACAAAAAATTTGCCAAACCCTGATCTAGGAGATCAAAGTATCAGATTTTTAAAAATGTGGTCATGCAGACATCAGCAGGATATAAGTTCTATCTTTATTCTTTATAGTATTTCTGGCTCATTTCATTAATAAGCTATATTTTTGTTGTTGTTGTTGTTGTTTTTTGAGATGGAGTCTCGCTCTGTCGCCCAGGCTGGAGTGCAGTGGCGCGATCTTGGCTCACTGCAACTCTGCCTCCCAGGTTCACGCCATTCTCCTGTCTCAGCCTCCCGAGTAGCTGGGACTACAGGTGCCTGCCACCACGCCCGGCTAATTTTTTTTTTTTTTTTTTTTTTTTTTAGTAGAGACGAGGTTTCACCGTGTTAGCCAGGATGGTCTCGATCTCCTGATCAAGTGATCCGCCCGCCTTGGCCTCTCAAAGTGCTGGGATTACAGGTGTGAGCCACCGCGCCCGGCCTTTTATAAGCTATACAGTTTAACAGATATAAACATAGATTGACAAATTAGTGAAAATTGTGCTACTAAGTCTATATGTGTTGTGTCTAAGTGAACCATTTTATCACAGTCAGTATTTCTGATAATAATTATCTGAAGAATAAAGGTCTTTATGCAGTAGCTTTCATAAAGGTAATAGTAGAATTTCATTTTGGAATACATCCCTGTCTGTTTCTATTTGTATTAGTTTTACTTCTTAACATTGAGGGCTTTGAACTGGTATGCCCCAACTACTCACAACCAATAGCAGATTTGATGATAATTTTTAAGAAGTGACAGAATTTTTAAAAGCTTTTATTCTGGTTGGAGAGGGTTGCTTTTGGGATAAAATGCAGTTTTAAATTCAAAGCTGATTTACATTTTTAATAGAGTATAGCATAAACCTAAGACATTTTCTTTTCTTCCATTACCTGAACACTAAAAATCTGACCACAACATAAAGAAATTTGATTCATTATATATAGAGTCATATAAAATGGTAATACACTTATAATGTATTTTAGAATTGTGATATGCCAACTTTAAAAATCACTTCGGGTATTTCTATTTTGATTTTTCAATTCAATTGATTTCAAAGCCCCCTCAGATGATAGGAATAAATGCCTGTTATCTATTATCGAAAAATACTGGTTATTCATTTGTTTTTCTGAAATGATAAGTATTTATCTTAGTCTTTTGAAAATATCATAAAATTAGCAGATTTTTGTTGTTGTTTTACCAAAAGAAAACCATTCTTTATAAAATGAGCACAAAATAGGTCTGGTGCGGTGGCTCATGTCTGTAATCCCAGCATTTCAGGAGGCCAAGGCGGGTGGATCACCTGAGGTCAGGAGTTCAAGACCAGCCTGGCCAACATGGTGAAACCTGTCTCTACTAAAAATACAAAAATTAGCTGGGTGTGGTAATGAGTGCCTGTAATCCCAGCTACTTGGGAGGCTGAGGCAAGAGACTGGCTTGAACCTGGGAGGCAGAGGTTGCAGTGAGCTGAGATCATGCCATTGCACTCCAGCCTGGGTGACAGAGCGAGACTCCGTCTCAAAAAAAAAAAAAAAAAAAAAAAAAAAAAAACACCAAGTCGATGAAGAAAAATTAGATATATTGATTTTAGGAAATTTTATCAGTTAAAATTGTAGGTATTTATAATAATTTATCATTTTGTGATATTCATATATGTATATATCTACAGATAGATAGCTTTATGAGCATAGAATACCTAAGATTATATATTTAATTTATTTAACATTTTTCTGTGAGTATATATTCTGAATGTGGTTAAACTATTCAATTATTTCTAAAACTGAAAATAATCAAATTATAAAATAAAAATCTTACAGCTAAGAAAATTCTACAGCCATTTGTACACTCAGAATATATCACAGTATCTTTTACCAAATATACTTAAAATGAACTATCTTAAAATAATGAATTACAAGGTAAATGATTTGTCCAAAATCGTGATCTTCTTGTTATAGCACTTGCCTTTGAGTTTAAAATCATTCTACTAATAATAAAGGGTATATTTCTAATTTTAAAAACATCCTATTACAAACAGATTATTTATTTTAATTATATCACATTGTTTATACAAATGAACCCAATTTACTTAAGAATTTATATCAGCTGGGTATGGTGGCTCACACCTGTAATCCCAGCAGGTTGGGAGGCCAAGCCCTGCAGATTGCTGGTGTCTAGGAGTTTGAGACCAGCCTGTGCAACATAGTGAAACCCTGTCGCTACAAAATAAATACATAAATAAATAAATAAAATACACAGATAAGCTGGGCATGGTGGCACATGCCTGTAGTCACAGCTAGCCTAAAGGCTGCGGCAGGACAATCATTGCCCTGGAGGTCAAGCCTGCAGTGAGCTGTGATCATACCACTGCATTCCAGCCTGGGCAATAGAGTGAGACCTTGTCGCAAAATAAATAAATAAATAAATAAATAAATAAATAAATAATTTGTTTATACATATATTTGGAGTGTTTTAATATTCCTTTTAACCTATGTATATGTAATGTTCAAATAGCTTTCTTCTAAGCGCCTATTGTGATGAACACTACAGGAGATTTATGGTTTGTTATTAATAATTCTTGATGACCTTACAAGGTTAACAGTAAAGATAAAATAGTAATCTTATGGGCAAATACTAGGCAAATCCCTCTTCGAGGCAAAAACACATGTTCAGGTTTGGAAGAACTGTGGAAAGATTCTTGGCTTTGATAAAAGGGTACAATCTCTTTAAAGCATAAATGCTTATTATATAACATGTGTAAGTGGGCCTGCCATGAGTGGAAGTGTAGAGGCATAAGGATGAAAAAGTACAAAATAGATTATGAAGCACTTTGAAAATGAGAATAAGAAATTTAGATAGTTAACTGAGAAATTTGTGAGCAAAGAATAAAAAGAGAATTCCAACCACCAACAGTTAAACAAATCCATCCAAAACATTAGTAATTACTCTTTATGG
Source organism: Homo sapiens (assembly GCF_000001405.40). NCBI lineage: Eukaryota > Metazoa > Chordata > Mammalia > Primates > Hominidae > Homo > Homo sapiens. The sequence goes on along the minus strand of NC_000007.14, from coordinate 84,131,261 downwards.
AAATGAATACTTAAAAGACTATTAAACATACATTTACTTTTGTTCCACTGGCTTATACTTACCCTCATTAAATTGCTCTCCAAAAGAACATTTCTACATCAAAATTTATTTTACTCATGTCAGATTTCTAAACTTTTATTTGCTATTATTATTATTATTAACCCTGGAACTCTGGAAACTTAAAAGGCCCTTTTAAGTCTAAGAATTTTTAGCATGAATATTATACAAATTATTGTTTATAAATATTTTACTTAGATAAAAGAATCACAGAGAATCATAAAATGAGGTCTATACTGTCTCAACAATTAAGCAACGAGAGCTAGGAAACTATGAGAAAACAACTTGTCTTTTTAAGTATATATATTTTTATATTGTAACTTTTGTTTTTAAACATATATATGTTTTAACAATCAGTGATTTCAGCACAATTTAGCTGGAAAGCTGAATATGAAAGTCAGTAAATCTTAACTGTTATATATTATTATTGTTATGCCCTAGAGAAAAGTTATGTTTTACCCTCTTCCATTATAAACTTTAAATAAAAATAGATCCCCTTGCCTTTCCATCTCCAATGTGAAGACTCAACTGCTGGGATTGCCCAGCAATCATTCTAGAAATTCAGTAGTCAGAGTAATGTTAATTATCAGAATGATACACTTACTGATCTTGAATTCTTGAATGTTTTTATGTGACTACTTTGTAAAAGCCTGTGGAACAACTCAACTATAATTTTAATTTACATATGCAGGCAAATGTGAAAAGGAAAGCACATAAGATAGAAAGAATACTCAAATTTAGAACTTAATGTTAAAAATGAATGCCTATCCAATAATTTTTAGGGTATATTGTTTTGACATGGACCTGAAATGCATTTATCAAGTCATCATACACTACTTCAATATGTGCCAAATCCTTGTTTGTAAATGTGTTTTGTTTTGCTTTGTAATTCTCCAGATTGAATATCATAGCCTTTGCCCAAGTTGATGATCATTTATACTGAATTATCTGGAGGTTCCCAAATGAATGACAATCAGTCATTTTAGGCTAAAAGCTTTCCAGCAGACATGAATGATTAAGTGCCATCATTTCTGTTTTTTTATATATGACTTTTTTCCCACTGAAATTAACTATTCATAATATTACTAGAAAGGAAAAATGAATAAAAAAACCCAAACTGTTCTGCCCCTATACAGATAGGAGTCATTGGAATTGCTCAGGGGATTTTATATTAAAATCAAATGAGAGTATTTGGATTAATATTGTTGGGGGGATGAATCCACTGTCCTCCAAGCCACCATTAACATCATAGTTCATCTACTACTGTCACTGTATTCACACAATATGGGACGTTTTGGAAGGATGAAGACTAAATATGAGGGATAAAAACACAAATAATTGTTTCTCAACTAGTCTTTTAGCCCACATTAGAGAGGGTGATTGTCTTTTAGAGCTATTTGTTTGTTTCTTCAGTCTACCTTTATTTCTCTAACATATACCATGCTACTTTTAAATATTTTCCCTTTCCAAAAAAAAAAAAAAGTCAAGAGGAGAAAAAAGAGAAGTTTCCATTCTAAGTATTTTTTTAATCCTTTCAGTTACTTATTCTAAAATGTCATGCTGAGATTTGTTTCAGGGAAATGTATCCAAAGCACCCAAATGTTAAAACTGCAAAATCACTATTTCATGATAAAGACTAATTTAGAAGAATCTGAGCCATATTCTATGCCAGTTTCTACTTCTCTTCACTAAATTCTCACGTTCTCTCAAGATCTCCCTCTCCCAATCTGTGTGCTAGTTCTTGCCATACTACACTGCTTAGATCTATTGTCTACACCAGTTTCTCTCTTGCTCAACTTTTATATATAGCAAAGGCTATTGGGTAGATGGAGAATCAATGACTTATGTTCACACCAATTAACTGGCGCCACTGGAAGGTCTAAAGTGAAAGTTTCCTGAAACAGTCTTTATGGAACTTTCTTTACTTCAGTTGCCCCAATGTCATCTAAAAGACTATATGGTGTTGGATCTCTTAGACAACTTAGTTGACATAAAACAATGTTTATTCTCTGTCCTTAGATTGTGTGGCCAGTATCTTACACCAGAAGAGATGAATGCAAGTGGGCTGGAAAAGACATCCTGGTAAGCATTAACCTACTAAATTATTATACAGGTTGAGTATCCTTCATTCAAAATGCTTGGGACAAAAGTGTTTCAAATTTCTGATTTTTTTGTGTGTGTGGGGAAGGGGTTAGAATCTTTTCATATATATAATAAGATATCTTTAGGATAGAACCCAATACTAAAAGCAAAATTTATTTATGTTTCATATACATAGTATAACCATAGCCTAAAGGTAATTTTATTTTTCCCTCGGGGATGCTGAAAAAAACTGTGCTGTGTGTCTGCATTTTGAATGTGACTAATCACATGAGGTCAGGTGCGGAATTTTCCACTTGTGGGTCATGTGGGTGCTCAAAAAATTTCAGATTTTGGAGGATTGCAGATTTCAGGATTTTGAATTAGGGATGCTCGACCTGCAGTAATTACATAAGTAATTTATTACTCTGTCATCTATTTTTGTTTAGTGTTCTGTGAAGCACCACATTTTACTTTTAAACTTAATCACCCTTGAGAAATAAAATGATAGTATTCAATTTTGGAACACTGACAGATTTATGTATAGAATGTATGTAAAAATAAGAATATTCCTTAAAGCAAAAATATGGTCTCTTTGGTTATTTATATATGGAAAAACTAATTAACAAAATGTGACTTTGTAGCATACATACTTATATTCAATAAGTCAACTTCTTTCCACAGGTTGATTTTCATGTTAATTCCCCTTGAATTCTTCTTGAAATGATATGAAATGTTTCCATTTCTGAGTCATAATTAAATTACGTATCTTTTCTTCTTCCCATTTTTTTCCTTTTATCTCCTCTTTCCTTTTCTTTTTCCTTCTCCATCTTTTTTCTTTCCTTTCATCCTTTCTTTCTTCCTCTCTCCTTTCCTTCCATGTATTCATCCTTTAAATAAATATGGGTTGAAAAAGGACCATGCAATAGGAATTGTCCTAGGCACTCTGGAGTGAAAGATGAATAGTAAGCAATCCCTACAATGGTTTTAGCATTGTAAAAAGATAGAGGCCATTTTTTGTAAAGTAAACTGTCAGGAAAATTAAGTGGGTGACTGGTTTGAGGAATAGCCCAGTATTTGCACAGACCATGAAAAGTAGTTTTATAATCATTTAAATAAATTAATTCAAATGAATTACAGAATTTTAAAAATATATAATTTTATATAATTTTATGTTTAACTGATATTTGGGGATGTTTAAAATACAAAGCAATATGTTTAAAAGTTTTATCTGTATTTAAAAGGATTTAGAATAAATGTATTCTGTGTGTTGCCTAAAGGCATAAATCAAACTGTACATGTGTATATAGATACATAGATATTTTCAAGCGACAACTTGATTGATTTGTTACAGTTGCCTACAATGATGTATATGTTTAGAAGGATTTAGAGTTGGAATCTGAGTTCCTGGGAAAAGACTGACTCAATCTAGCAGCAATGTTGCCTATAGGTGAAGGAAGTTAGATAAAGGATCACAAAGCACAGGTATCCCCCATCCTTAATACCTGTACATTAGCAAACATGGGAAATTCATCCTTGAAAATTATATATTAAACATATAGTTATTATGTTAAAATATTCATGACACGTATTAAAGATGGTAAGGCAGACTTTATTCAGGGGTACTGCTGCAATGAAGTTTTGTAATGGGGGTAAGAGATTGAGCTTAATAACAGGGTATGCTGAATACAAGGATAAGTGGAAATTTATAGCTAAGAAGCAAAGTGGGAGTCAGTGGGTGGAAAATTGCCAAGAGGAAACATCGGAGTAATGGGAATTGTGGATAAATTGATTAGGCAGGATTATTACTGAAGGCAGCCAGGGTGATAAGATATTGACAGTGAGGCAGGGCAGTGGGGCAGGAATTTGATCACACATATCAATGGTGGGAGAATTTCTGTAAACTGACTCAACAGGATTCTTGTGAAAACTGGACCAAGCGGAGATGAACATGGAAATCGGAAAGTCAGGGCCTTCTTGTGAAGAGAGTTCAGGAGAGTCTGACTAGAGTTAGGTAAGGAGAGAATCTGTCAACTGAAAGTCCCTTTACACCTTCATAGTAGAGCAAATGTTTTTCTGGTTATGTAACAGTGGATCAAAAAAAAAAAAGTGTGTTCTTCTATCAAATTTTATACTATCCCTAAATGATGCATAATTTGAAACTTCTGGAAAGGAGTAAATAGAAAGCACAATGAAGTAAGAACCCAGAGAGGTTGAGAATTTTGTGCTGATACCCCTACTGACTCATGAATGTACTGAGCAAGTATGCTAACTTTCTTTGGGCTTTAGCTTCTCATCTATTAAGTGAGACAACACATATATCACTGTGAGAAACAACTCTAATAGTTTTTGTGAAAATTATTTGAAAAGTAGAAAAATCTTCAATAATACAAGGCTAAAAGTATAATTGAACAAACAAAAATCTATTAACGTCAAAAAGCTACATTTTACCATTAACAAATTACATTAAAATATTCAGTGAGATAATACCTGAGGATGAATAGAAATGGCTAATTTACCTATTTATAGCTTTTAACACACAGATGATAAGTAATAGATTTGAACAAATATATTACCTTTTCTGGCTCATCAACAGTGTAAGTATGATGATAATCAACTCATCCGGGCGCGGTAGCCCATGCCTGTAATCCCAACACTTTGGGAGGCTGGAGAGGATGGATCACTTGAGGTCAGAAGTTCGAGGCCAGCCTGGCCAACATGGTGAAGCCCCATCTTTACTAAAAATACAAAAATTAGCCAGGCGTGGTGGCACATGCCCGTGGTCTCAGTTACTGGGGAGGTTGAAGCAGGAGAATCGCTTGAACCCGGGAGGTGCAGGTTTCAGTGAGCCATGATCATGCCACTGAACTCCAGCCTGGGTGACAGAGTGAGACTCTGTTTCAAAAAAAAGTAAAATAAAATAAATAACTCACACAATTCCTGTAAGGCTCAAAGGAACCCATGCAAAATATTACGTAACTGAGATATTAATAACTAACAATATAAATATAATGTTAGTCATTATTGCTATTATTAGTATATGTAATAGAGTAGTATGGACAATTTCTAAGTGAAAACATTGTTAATGAAATTAATTCAACACTCCTTAATGGTTATGACCACTGCAGTGTTTCATTGTTCTGAATTTGATTTGGTCTGAAAATTTAAGGTAATAACCATGCTTATCTAGTTATCTTACAAATTATCTGCATATTCTAATACAAACTGAAGCTTTATTTGATTTCACGACTGAATCAACCCAGTCAAGCATATTTGATTTCATAATTGGATCAACTCATTCAATGGCTGAGATAGCAGATTTAATTTGTGTTTGTGATTTCTAAAATTATTCACCTCAAGGCATTTCCCACATCTTTTATGGGAACTTTCTCCTCTCTCTCCCTCTCTATCTTTGCCTCTCTCTCCCTGTTATTAATACAAAAAACTAAGGGATTCTTGCGGTTAGCCCAGATGTAGTTAGTTCAGCAGCCTCAATAAACTAATGATCCACAAGGCCCTGTGGAGGATAATTTAATCACTTAATCATGACTTTAGAGATTCACCTGCATCAGCCACCTTAGTAGCTGGGATTACAGGTGTCCACCATCACATCCGGCTAATTTGTGTATTTTTAGTAGAGACAGGGTTTTGCCATGTTGGCCAGGCTGGTCAAGAATACTTTCAAAGAAGAAAGGCAACTTCATTGCATTTTCCACACTTACTAAAAATGTTTATGAATTTTATGGAACTTAATTAAAAGGATCTAAGACATGGAGTTTGCTGAATCTGATAGAGTGACACCAGATCATTTCACAGCACCTTGTAATAAAGATTCTGAAAAAATATAAATCATTATGATAGAAGTGCATAGAGAGACACACATTTTTAAAAGTGCAATGGTGTGATAACATTGCCTTAATAATGTTTTCAAAAATCAGTTAATTAATTAATTGTAACATTATAAAATATTTGTGCTTTGGTATTTCTTCATATTCTGCATTAAATCAATTCAAGATTTTGAATTTTCTCCATTATGATTTATATAGTGAAAGGAAAACAGAAGTTTTTATATATTTTATTTCAAGGAAAAATATATTTTTCTTCCAGCTCTACTCAATGTTAAAATGTATTTCATACTATTTTGCTGATAACCCTTATAGATCCTTTAATATTGCTTTTCATACATTTTTTATGCAAGATATATTTTATTCATTTATAATTTTATTAAAATTTATTTTAATTTTCAGTTAACCTCATTTAAGTAATGCCTCAGTTTACATATTTTGTGCACTTCAAGATGATTCATGGCATTCATTGGTTATTTTTGGATTTTAATTTACAGATGCAATTTTTGCATTTCTTTCTTAATATATGATTTTAGAAATAGCTATTGGATGGATCCCTGGGATTTGTAACATCCCTTCCTTAATAAACATAAGAAAATAAATAGCATTATTATTTTTAACAATGATTTAAATAAACAATAAGAAATAAATATTAAGAAGAAAGAGGCTTTTTCTTTCATTTGACACCTGATTTGCAAAGTGACACAACGGACAGTTTGATGGAAATTCTGCACTGTATCTTGGGTAAATAATAGTCAGCTGTGACTTACAGACAATAATTCCTTTCAAAGGGCTCGGGTAATACTGAAAACCACAAGAATGGATGTGAGTGGCTGTGGCAGCCATCAGGGCTCCAAGACAGAATTGTAACCAAAATAGGAACTGACCTGAACATTTATAGTAAAGTAAACAAACAACCTCCTTACTTGTTATCCCTGATTTCCGGAGCCTGCACTTACCATTTCCTACTGATTTCCTCGAAAAGTCCACTGGAAATGAAGTGCCTTTAAACAAGTCACACTGGGTAAAATGCTATCTCTGCAGCATCAGATTCAGATAGAAGGCTACAATAGGAAAAGAGGGGTCAAGACACTGGCTAATCTTATGCACTTTTAGAGTGGGCCATTCTTATGCCTAGTTAAGGAAAAGCTCATTCCTATGGCTATGACAACACAGTAAACCAGAAACCAGGACATGCCACTGGATTGAACCTACATAGTTTCTGTGTCACTGAGTATGGTATCATACAGAAAAGTGAAACGTCTCCGCATTCTCTCATGCAGCTGGGATAATATAACTCATCATTACTCTCTGCCGAGTTTTGCACCAAACACATATATTAAATCAGCAGCTGTAATTCAAGCAACTATTCCACAAAGAATGGACTTTGTTGTTAAAGAGGAAACCTGTAGCCTCAGGCACATAGTTATACTCTCTTGCTCTCTCTCTCTCTCATATATATATATCAGGTTATCAGATAAATATATATATATAAGGTTATCAGATAATATATATTAAACAATAAGAAATAAATTGTATATTTTAAATATATATATTTTATCTGATATATATAAAATATATGTTTATCTGATAACACTTATTGTTCTTTTAATATTGCTTTTCTATATATTTATATATTTTTTCTATATAGAGTGTGTGTGTGTGCCTGCGCATGCATGTACATGCATGTGCTGGTGATGACATTTCTGATATTCATCTACATTTAATTTTCTCTTGTAGAACTGAATGTACAGGATATAAAACAAATCATCATATTAATATGTCTTTTTTGGTATTGTAGATTCTAAACCTTCAAATTGCTGTGGCATTTTTAGCATTAGAGTAGTGAAATGCTTATGAATTTTTCCATTGCTGTTACTTGAGAGCTGTTATTTGAAAAATATATATATAATGCAGTATATAATACTGTTGGACAGAGACCCTGGATAGGGAAATAAATACAGTCGAGATACCTGTATTCTGGCTGCTGTTATTCACCGTTACTCCCATTTTCGGTATTTTTCTAGTGCTTAAAATTCAGTTGGTTATACACAGTAACATTTCTATTGATGGATTAACTTCATTGACCCTGTTTTGCAAATGAAAGCTGAATACATTCTAAGCTGGTAAAAGAATCTGTTTTGAATCAATAGCTCTCTGAATCTTCTTTGTTTATCCTACTAAACCATCTCTCTTTGCACTAAATTTCAGTAAAACCAAATGGCAACCGTATGACTGTTAGAAATATTTTGAACATCATTGGAAATCAAAATTTCAACCATCTGAGAGGAACAAAAAAGCAGACTCTCATAACATTCTGATTCTTGGATACATTTCAAAGTGTTGTATCATGCACCTGAACTTTGAGACTTTTTAAAATTCTTGAGGGATTTATTTTTATATATTTGTCCTTAGTTGTTACTCCTCTTAATGATATGATATATTATAATGTCTATCATGTTTACTGTGGCTCAAATTGCAGGACCTCAATAGCACTAATTTTTGCCAAGTGAATGCAATGAGAATTTAAAGCTGCACATGCATCTAAAGTTACAGTGCATTCCAAAATGCCTATGTCAACCCTTAAATTTCATTACTTTTTCAAAGGTCAAATTTGACATGAACTTTCAATTTTTTAAATTTTATTTTAGACATATTGAGACATAATAAAACTGTATTAAGTGGATAATTAGAATTACCTTCTAATTTGGGAGCCTATCAAATAATAAAATTACATTACATTTCAAAATCCTCATGTATAATTGTTGGAATATAGTTTTTCATGGGTCTTCACATTTCTCACATCTTATGAGCAGACGCCCTGACTAGCTTTTTGCATGCTTTTTTAAAAAAAGATCTCTATGACTTTTTAATGATTGCCATTCTAACTGGTGTGAGATGGTATCTCATGTGGTTTTGATTTGCATTTCTCTGATGGCCAGTGATGATGAGCATTTTTTCATGTTTCTGTTGGCTACATAAACGTCTTCTTTTGAGAAGTGTCTGTTCATATCCTTCGCCCACTTTTTGATGGGGTTGTTTGACTTTTTTCTTGTAAATTTGTTTTAGTTCTTTGTAGATTCTGGATATTAGCCCTTTGTCAGATGGGTAGGTGTGGAGAAATAGGAACAGTTTTACACTGTTGGTGGGACTGTAAACTAGTTCAACCATTGTGGAAGTCAGTGTGGCGATTCCTCAAGGATCTAGAACTAGAAATACCATTTGACCCAGCCATCTCATTACTGGGTATATACCCAAAGGATTATAAATCATGCTGCTATAAAGACACATGCAAATGTATGTTTATTGAGGCACTATTCACAATATCAAAGACTTGGAACCGGCCGGGCGCGGTGGCTCACGCCTGTAATCCCAGCACTTTGGGAGGCCGAGGCGGGCGGATCACGAGGTCAAGAGATCGAGACCATCCCGGCTAAAACGGTGAAACCCCGTCTCTACTAAAAATACAAAAAAATTAGCCGGGCGTAGTGGCGGGCGCCTGTAGTCCCAGCTACTTGGGAGGCTGAGGCAGGAGAATGGCGTGAACCCGGGAGGCGGAGCTTGCAGTGAGCCGAGATCCCGCCACTGCACTCCAGCCTGGGCGACAGAGCGAGACTCCGTCTCAAAAAAAAAAAAAAAAAAGACTTGGAACCAACCCAAATATCCATCAATGATAGACTGGATTAAGAAAATGTGGCACATATACACCGTGGAATACTATGCAGCCAAAAAAAGGATGAGTTCATGTCCTTTGTAGGGACATGGATGAAGCTGGAAACCATCATTCTGAGCAAACTATCGCAAGGACAGAAAACCAAACACTGCATGTTCTCACTCATAGGTGGGAATTGAACAATGAGAACACTTGGACACAGGGTGGGGAAACATCACACACTGGGGCCTGTCGTGGGGTGGGGGGAGTGGGGAGGGATAACATTAGGAGATATACCTAATTGTAAATGACCAGTTAATGGTGCAGCACAGCAACATGGCACATGTATACATATGTAACAAACCTGCACGTTGTGCACATATACCCTCGAACTTAAAGTATCATAAAAAATTGTTTTATTAAGTTTAAAGTAAGAAAAAGCTGTTTATACAGTTACGATAGTGTTTTTCTCTGAAGTAGAAGGCTGGTTTGCAAATGGTCTTGGGAAACAGAGTGTCTCCCTCTGGAGCAAAGGGCAGATATGCGCACTGTCCGGTGCAATAAACATAACATCTCCATCAATATCTAAAGGTCAGCATGCTATACCTATTATAAAATATTTAGGTTTTTTCATCCAGAGTTCCTCTCCTATAATGCAACTAACCACATGTATAGGTATTACCTGACCCTCTTCCCAATGCCCAGTGGAAATAGCACAAGAAATTCTAATACTCTAGCTAGCACTATTTTTGTGAGTAATAAAGTCCTTTACCTCTGAACCCTGAGTCACAATCTTTTGTTAGTATTCATGAAAGCCTGGTAGGCTAACTTGCTATCTTTACAAATAGGGTAAAACCCCAGACCCTTTATAATTTTTGAAAATATCGATTACAATTTTATGTGGACACTCTGCATAATCTTACAAATGAAAGAATATGGTCAGTTTATCCATTTTAAATATGATTTTCATCAAGAATTTTGATGGCACTTCAGTTGTACAGATAACTGATTTTTGATGAATGCCAGTAAATGCCTTATCTTATGAGCATAGATTTTCATATGTATGTACCTGTGTATGTCTGTATCTGTTTGTGGGTAAATATCTGGTACACTGAACTGAATAATTACAGTTTAACTGTAGCCTTCAGAAGCAGTGTAATAATATCCAACACTTATGGAGAGCTTGCTTTATACCTGGTATTGATCTAAATGCATTTTGTATGTTAACTCGTTTAAGTGACTCATATTTGGTTACAAGTCCATATTTCTTTTCAAGTAATTAAACAAGCAAATTTTGCATATAAGGTAAAAGATACATGGCAAATAAAACTTTGTCATTAAGTTTATTTCAGAAATTAGGTAGTATTCATATTTTGAATTAATACATTTTACTAATACAGCCAAATAGGTTGGTATTAATTATGTTTGAATTGCCATGAACCAAGTCTCATACAGATAAACTTACATTTTTGGAAATCTTTTAGGGTCAGGATTAAAATTTAAATGCATTTTAATTTTTTTTTTTTTTGGTAAAGTAAGGCTAGCATTTGAAATACAGACATTTTATAAACATCTTTCAGAAGATTTGGAGATTTTGATTTGTGTTCCTTTTTTACTGAAAATTTCAATTGCATCCTTAAGTGGCTGAAATGAAGATAAAATATTTGGCATTGGTTAACAAATTATTATTTAGATTTGACTGGACACCATAATTCATCCATGCATCAGTGTACATACTTTTAGAGTACAGTAAGTATTTTATACTCTGGAAGGTTTATTATCATGATTTGACCAGTTCCTTCAGGAAAAAAGATTTTGGCCAATATCTTCTTACCTCATATTTAGCAAGTTGATCCAAGTCCCACTGACACGTAGTTTGTAATACTTGTGTTTAGTATTCTTCTATATGTGTCTGATAATCTTCATAAGTGGATTTCTACTCATTTCTGAGAGTACACTGTCCATCATATTTTGTATTTAACATGGACTCTGATAATATTTTACTCAGACGTGTTATGTCTCAAGACAAATATGCCATCACCAACTTTTGACTATTTTCCTTTTACTTGACTTAGAAACATAAAAATCATTTGTGCAATAACACTAAAAATCATCAGCTTCTTATGTCCACAGGACATCATGAAACTTTCCCAAAATTCTGCCATTTAATTTTAATATACGTCTACTTACTTTTGGACTTTTTAGTTGGTAGCATGGAAAACAGACTGCAAAATTATGGTAGCTCTGAAAACTTGACACTATTTCTAGAGATGCAGAATCTTGACTTTTGGCTTTAAGAGCAGAAAATTCCTGAAGCTTCTCACTATTCCATTCAAATTAGGTGCAAAATATACTGTACTATCCATGCTATACATGGTGTTAAATGTAACTATTATGTATGCATACATGTGTGCATGTGTTTATTCCATATGTATTCAATGCTAAAAGATAGTTTTTTTAGTATTGTGCTTGAAATGATACCAAAATTAATATAACTTATTGATTATAGAATTTAATATGCACTTAAAAAGCAGAAATCATTCATATTTAGAAGTAAATAAAATTATTAACTAATGACCTTTAGTCATTAGTTCTTACAACAAGCATGTGTGTATTTTTAAATAGGCCAAATTTATGTTCCCTTTATATTACATATCACAATGAGCTAGTCTATGGCTGTAAGATATATCTTTTCATCATGGTTTTACCAGAGACCAACTGTGTGATTGATATGGAAAAAGTTTTATTATGGGAATTAGACCTTATACAATCATGAGAGCTGGTGAAGAACTCTATGGAAGGCTACTGCCTGAGACAGGTAGTGGGCGTGAAGTTGTTGTAGGTAACTACAGTTGTTTATGTTTATAGAGGAAAAGCCGAACATGAAGTAGGAAGAGCAAGGAGAACTGAGACCCACAATCACAAACTAAGACCATAGTGTCTTTTACTACCTCTAACTTTCTTTGGGTCGATTTGGGTGACTTAAAGAAGAAACTGATGTCTTTTGTCATGGAGCTATACAAGTATCAGGACTCAGTCTTGTAGAAACTAACAAATGAGATTTGGTGGAAGCCAGAGGACCTGGAGGCCCAGGTACTGCCCCACGCTAACAACGTGGCCAGCAGATCAGAACAACCTGGGGAGTGTAATGGTTGCAGCTTAATTTATACCTCCCAAATCTCATGCAGATTTTGTTGATAGCCAGCCTAAACCAACCTATAGAAAAGGGAATTTGAGGAAATATTTTTCCAGCTTATTTCATTTGGCACAATACAATTCTGCCACAGCTATTGACTAACACACGCTGTATTTGCTGTTGTGTTGAGAAAATGAATCCTGGCATTTTTACTGCTTTGATAACAAGAGTGATTATAATTTATAAGTCTTCACTGCCAGAGGACTAGGCTTTCATAGAAATTCTATTAAACAAAATGCAATTGCCCTTGGTAGCAGAAATGGGCACAGAGTAATACTCAAAACCAATTTTGTTAAATCTATCTCTGTTTAGCACCAAGTATAGGCTTAAACTCTATTAACTACATCCTTATAAAGAATGAACTATTCATAATGGAGCTCTTGTCGTAATTGGTGAAATGGCATAATATGTAGAAGAGTGTGAGAGTTAAGCAGTCATAGAAATATCCAAACAATAGTGAAGTTTAATTATTTTAAGAATTGGATAACCAGTTACCTATCAATTAATAAGCGCTAGTCATCATGTTAAGTAATTTACATGAATATATCATTAATCTCATTTTTAGTTGAGGAGACTCAGGCTCAGAGATTCTAAGTAACTTTCTTATAGTCACACAGCAAATGGAAAATGCCTGAATAATTTTAACCCATGTCTAACTGACTTTAAAGCAGTGGTTCCCCAATCTTTTTGGCACCGGGGACTGGTTTCATGGAAGACAATTTTTTCACAGGCCAAAAAGGGGATGGTTTTGGGGTGAAACTGTTCCACCAAAGATCATCAGATATTAATTAGATTCTCACAAGGAGACCTCAACCTAGATCCCTTGTATGCACAGTTCATAAAAGTGTTCACGCTCCTACGAGAATCTAATGCAGCAGCTGATCAGACAGAAGGCGGAGCTCAGGCGGTAGTGCTGGCCGGCCTGCTGCTCACCTCCTGCTGTGCAGCCTGTTCTTAACAGGACCCTGACTGGTACCAGTCTGCCTGGAGGTTGGGGACCCCTGCTCTAAATTGTAAGACTGAGATACAAGTAACTACCCCAATTTCTGTTTTACCATTATGAAATTGTTCGTTTTGTCCTACATGTTTTTTCTTAAAGTTTTTGAGAATGCCTTTTCAAATGCAAATATCCTTCAATAAGTAACATCTTTACTACATATCACTAAACATAAATAAATTTAAAAATTCCAAATTTCTGAAATTTAAATGTGTGCATAAATTATTTCTACAAGTTGATATATACATATGGTTTGCATACAAATATCCACATATATGTGCATATTTGGGAAGATTACGATATATGGACGATATTTGAAGAAATAGTAAAATTGTGCCAGAAAAAAATGAAATTTGTAAAATTTCCTTTTTAATATCTAATTCTGTACAAAGCAGAAGATCCAAAGTTGGCTGACAGGTGACAAAATTCTGTTACCATGTATGTTCTGATGGTGAAAATATTTTAAGCAATGGTAAATTTAAGTATCTTTTAACCAAGCATCAGGTTGCCTCCAATTACCCACTTTCTTTTTAATGTTTGTATTACTCCATTAGGGCTACCATAATAAAGTGGCACAGACTGGGTGGCCAAAACAGCAGAAATTTATGTTCTAGTTCTGGAGGCCAGAAGTCCAAGTTCAAGGTGTAAGCAGGGTTGAGTTCCTCTGAGCCTCCTCTCTTTGGCTTGCAGATGACTGTCCTCTTGCTGCCTCTTCACATGGTCCTTCCTCTGTGCACTCATGCCCCGATGTCTCCTTATGTATCCAAGTTTCTTCTTATAGAGACACCAGCCAGTTTGGATTAGGGTCTAGACTAAGGGCCTCATTTTAACTTAGTCACCTTCTTAAAGACCCTAATCCCCAAATAGAGTCATATTCCCAGATGGTAGAGATTAGAGCTTCAAGGTATAAATTTTGAGAAAATGGAGTTCAGCTTATAACAGAGTCTCACAACTCTGGTTTGATAATTCATTTACCCTATGGGCATTTGACTTCTTTTCAAACCTTTTTATATTGTAAAAGTTCTTTCTTTCCGAATGTTCTACTTTTTAATCTCCTTTTAAAGCAACTAAACTTGGTCATGAAAAAAAGAAAGAAAAGGAAAAGAGTATACGTGTGAAATATGCCACAGGCACTTGCATTTGAATAAGTGATACATCAGTGTCTATGTCACAAACACTAAACTTGATTAGGGTCTTCAATTATTATAAGATGTATTAAGATAATATTTTATATTATAACTATAAAACAGACTTCAGTACTTTGGACATTAAAGACTCCAACAAAAATTAATTTTTGATATTAGGCAAGATGGGGTAGAAAGGAGGTAGATGTGAATGAAATCAAGCATTCCTCTAAAATATGGGCTCAGTTTTTCTGTCTTTCCCTAAGGCTACATCTCACATGCAATTAAAGATGCAGTTCATCTCTCTTTTATGTGTAATGATTTCTGTTATGGTAAAGGCATGTATGTTAGAATTAAATATGCCAAATAATTTTGTCCACAATAAATTCCTTTACATTGTAACTCTCCTTACTTCATGTAAACCAATGACTTGGTTGCATTAAGGCATGAACACTAAATATTCAGCACCTTGCATAAAATTGGAAACCACAGAATATCATTTTTGAAATCAGGGTGAGGATTGTGAGTACTTCATAATTTTCCTGGTTCGGTAGGAAACATATTTATGTAGATTTCCCAGAATATTTTTAATTGTCTGCATTTATTGCAATATGAGGTGAAGAAAGGTTATGCTAGGTACATATAATGGACCACAATCAAATCATGCAAATGAATGGCACACATCCTGATGAATCAGAGTGATAGTATAATATAAAAGAAAACATAAGCCTAAAAATAGATATCATAAGCTTCTATGGTCCACACAGAATTTCAAAGTGAATTTTTTGAACTCCTTTAAATAAAAGAAAATCACAGCAGTCAGCTTTTGCTAATAGCATGGTCTATAGTGCCTAGTGTATAATCATTTTGAACATGTTTGAAGGTTTCAAGTAATTTGAAAGAAAAATGTTTATAGAGTCTTGAACAATATTTCTAGGACTTCAAAACAAATAGTCAATCTGGAGGGGAAAGAGCAGTCAAATTGGGCACTTAACTGAAATGAGCATTTAAGTAAAATAATTTGGGAGCCTTGTACAGAGAGTCTTCATTTAGTTTAATCATATAATTCAAGCCACTTTAAAAGTTGTTTTTCAGTTATCATAGGTTTAATGGTGATATAGTTCAATTATTATGAATATGCCTACATACCAAAATAACTGGCTATATATAATGGTAACTTTGTTGTGTTAGTTGAGTCAGTATTATTTCAAATCTCTAAAAAATATAAAAGCATTGATGTGGAAAGTTCAGTTCATTTTATTATGGCATATTCTAAATACTGAAGGTAAAAATGCCTCCCAAAATGGACAGAACTGCCTATTCATCACTTAAAAAGATGAGTGTTAAAAAATTCCAAGTCACAAATTCAACATTAGAAGGCTAATATTATAATTATAACATGGTTTATATTTTAGTTTTATTAGATAAGCCTCTTTGGAGAAGAGATTTCTAACCTCCTTTAGTGAATAGTGAAGTATTAAACACAATTATGGATGATCGGATTACAGCTGTAATAGCACAATGTTAAAAGAAAAAAAAAGACTAAACATTATTGCCAGATAAGTGTGGAAAAGCTTAAATAGAGGAAGGGATAAAGTGAGTGACAGGAACAATCTCACGGATTACTGCTTTGGCACGAAGATTCCAGTATTCAGCTAGCTTGCCAGATAAATTGACCAGAGAAAAAGAAAGTCAACAGATTAACTTCAGGAATTAAGCTTATTAATGGGTTTTCAGGCAGAAATGTATCCACCCATCATGATAGGAAAAGGTTTCCTTTGCTTTCCCAGCTGCTAGATTATGCACCAAAATATTTCTACACAAACTATCGATGGGATAGAAGCATTTTTTTTCTTCTTTTTACAGGAATTCTCACTGACCTGAGTCAATGTTATATGCTACCCATTCATTTTGGACTGATTTATAGTTGAGCCAGAACAAGTTGTTTGATTTAATCATGAACTGAATATATTTGAATAGAGATTGTTCACGTTCACAAGTCTTCTCTTCTTTTCTCTTCGCTTACTTAGAGTAAAATTTAACTGCTCCATCCAGAATTTAAGAACATGCAAGGAGGTAATTGGAATTGGAGGTAAATCATATTCTTTTGTAGAAAGTATAATTATCGGAAGTTAGTTAAAAACACCTCAATTCTGTTTAATTTTCATGCATGGAGCAGTTGTTTTGACAGATGGATGGACTTTATTTTTGTAACCGTCCAGGAAAAGTCTGCGTAACACAGTCTAATCAGTGCTTCATATCTGCAATGTTTGTTTTTGAATCACTGTGCTTTTGGCTCCTGTATCTTTTTCTAGGGGTAGACATTTTCTTCTAAATTTATTTCTCCAGGTAATATCTTTATACATAATTCCTCTATCCATTTGATCTGAAAAGACAAGAGGCCCTTAAAAAAATAAGGGTAAGTGGTTTGTCACTAAGGGTGATGAATCATTACTCCTCAGGTGTGGCCTTGGATTTTACTGGTTTATAACTGCCCTTACTTTTATTTCTAGCTAACAATCTATAACACTGTTGCTCTGGGGAACATTTCAGTAAAATAAGAGGTCAATATGGTTGCCTGACTCTTGGGAAGCCAACTGCCAACTTGTTGCTAAACTTGTCTGTGTTCATCAACTTAAATTCCAAAAAGGATCAAGGTTTGAAAAATGAATTCATTTTGAACTGATTCCACTCTCTTTATTACATTGTAAATCCTCCAGTGCTGAGCAAAGCAGTGCAGTAGTTTAAGGCCAAAAAGTACATTACATTCTGAGTTTTAAGAATCGTCATGGTTCAAGAAAAGGTCAGAAACACTCTTCTTCTGTCTCCCTAGAGCAGAAATGTGTGAAGTGTGTTTCCTTTTTCTGCCACACTTCCTTCTTTTTTAGAGGAATGTCCAAGCTGCTTCCAAATAAAATGAATATCCTGTTTTGGAACACTCGAAAACCTTGGCAGCAACAAGCTAGAGAATGAAGGCAAATGAATGACAGGATTGATACTCTTTTATGTAGGTTTTCTGTTAAGAACAAATCCTTACTAACAATGTCTCTGTCAAATTTTTGCTTCTTCTCTGTCCAGTTCTTTTAATGCACTTTCCTCCTCCATTGTTTTCGATGAGTCTCCTCTCAACTATTTTTAACCAAATTTGAAAGTATTTCCTTCCATTCCTTTGTTTCATTTCAAGCATCTTTATATCCTCTAAGCCCAAGAAATTTCTCTCCCTTCTATTTGCATCAACCTTCACTTCCAAAATAATATTGAGCTTGCCCCCAGGGCATGGTAACAGTACAACCTGCTGCCAACTGGGAGAGTTCAGTGGGGAAATGAAGGGAATCATTCCAGGCCTTAGGCCAATAGGGTGAGTCTAGTTGCTTTGTAACACAGACAGATTCCCGTTATCAGCACTCTAGGTAGAACCCTTTGCCAGGTTTCACAGCTTTGGTCCTGTGATTGATTTTGTTCCAACAGCTCTGTAGGGGAATTGTTGTCATATTATAGTGGTTCCTCTTTAGTAGTTAATAGAGAACAAATTAAAATTATGATATTCAGTGGAGCCCAATTTCATAGTTAGCAAGAACCTTGAGAGTTTTTCAGTCATTAATTACAATCTGCTAGTTTCCTTGGAAGGACAGATGTAGTCACTATAAATTGCTAGTCAGTTATTCAATCTATAAGAGATAAAGAGCCCACAAATTCTGGGACATTATGATTCATAACAGTTGCAGAGGTGACATGAACCTTTGTTTTGTTCACAAGTCTTCTTACTGGTAAAATATGTTTTTCCTTTTTTATTAGGGAGAAGTAAGTTCACTGTCATATTTCTAAGGAGGCACTTAGGTGATACTGACAGGACTGAAAAATTGGGGTTTGTGGAAAAAATTGCATGCATATCTTTAAAGGCATGGCATGCAGACTGAAATCTTGTTCTTTTCTAGAATGAAAAAGACATCCATCTGGGTCTGCCACTATTATTTATTAGAATATCTGTTTGCTTACCAATATGTACACAGCCAATTTCTTGGTTTCAGCATATGGTGCTGGAACTGGTTATTTCTAATCTTGAATACTATAATATTGAGCCCACAATCAGAGATGATAATCTTTATATAAAAGCAGAGTATGTGGCCACCTATGTGTTTCAAAGTAAACATTTTCCTGAAAATGGCTTCTTTGCAAATGACTGAATTTTTTTTAAGAATACAGATAAATCCTTTGGGAAAGGCCCATGAATGCCTGGTTTGTAAATGAGTTTATCAGATGTTTCCCTTTCTACAACCTCTTTCCTCTGCCCAAGCCTTCATGCCCTATTCTCTTGGGGAAGGAGGAGAGACTCTTACAGAATGGAGAGCTTGTTGCTAAGAGTAGTGGAAGTTAAGTTATATCTGTTTCATAGTTTTACCCCTAAGAGGTACCCTATTTAAGTGAAACATGGATGAGATCCACATACCTTTTAAGCTAGGAAATTTTTCCTCATAACAACTTGCAAGATCAATTTATTTCAGAGAGTAATTTTATACATTGTAATGCCTTACCAGACAAAAGAAAGACTTAGGATCTGTGTAGCAAAACAGTGGAAGAAATTATGTTTATTTTAGTTACCCCCAAAGTACTCAGCATATGTTAGGAAAGCATGAGAGAGGAGTCATAACTAGAAACTTTCGCATTTTATTTTAAATAGGCCACATTCATTTTTAGGGCAATGTATTTTAGGGTCATCATCAGGTTTCATCCTAGAAAAATAAGTGATAATAGACAGCAATTATTTGAATTTAAATATCAATTAATCTGCTTAAATTTGGTTGCCTGATCCTTCTTTTATGGGGGCAATGGAATTAAGATAAAAATAATCAGCTGCAAGTATAGAATACAGATGTCATTTGGAAATGTACTCAAATAATTTTACCACCTCAGTTGTAAGCTCCAACTGACTACATAAAGCACTCTGAGCTTTCACTTGAAAAGTGGCAAGTCATAGAGAATGACTTTGGGAGTGTGACACACTTAGAAGTGCCAGGAACAACCCAGTCCTGTCATGTGTGCCCACCTTGCTTGTACTGTTGTCCACGCTTGATCCTTAACTGCATCTATAGTTACATATTTGGTTCTTAATTCCAAATGTTTATAGAAAAAAGAAAGTAGATAAGAAAGTCTATAGCCTTTAACAAAATAATTTGAATGCAGTTTTTATTATTTACCATGTGAATACTCATTTGGATATTTCCAAAATGGGTTACTAATGATGTTTAAACTTTATGTTTATTAGAGGGTCATATTATATTTTTGTTTTCTTTTCCTAAAATGGAACTGAAAACTGATTTTTGCAAGTAAATTTTCCCCATCATTTTGTTTGATTAATTCATTAGTTAATCAAGTAATTTGGTGCTCTCCTCATTTCTGGAAAAATCACCTGTGATTATTGATTGTCTAAATTTCTTTTCCACTTTTGTATAAATAAATTAAAAATAGTTTTAATGGAAGACTGACGGAAGGGCATAAAATAATTGTTCTCACCAGAGTAAGAAACTCTATATTTTAATGCATATTATAATATAAGCAAAACAATAGAATAATAAATAAGTCCTTAAAATGTTGTGAAAGGGATGCCAAAAAAAAAAAAAGAAAGAAAACAAAAGACAAATCTGTTCCAGCATGCCTAGCACCCTAGAGGATACCTCAGTCATGCTGATTGCTGAAACTCTTTGGTTTTCCTTTTGTCTTACAGAAAGAATGTGCTAATTTCATCAAGGTACTTAAGGCATATAATCAGACTCACTTGTACGCCTGTGGAACGGGGGCTTTTCATCCAATTTGCACCTACATTGAAATTGGACATCATCCTGAGGTAACGCTGGCTTTTTAAAAATTATATT
Organism: Homo sapiens; assembly: GCF_000001405.40. Lineage (NCBI taxonomy): Eukaryota > Metazoa > Chordata > Mammalia > Primates > Hominidae > Homo > Homo sapiens. The sequence goes on along the minus strand of NC_000007.14, from coordinate 84,110,441 downwards.
TGTCCATGACCCCTTTCTATTCAAAATGCTTCATTACTAATTTCTTCAGTTTATTTTGCTTGTGGTTCACTATTCAGTGGGACCTACTTCAAACTCAGATGCTGTTATTAATTTTAATCTGTGAATGCAAAAAGAATGAGAACATTACTCAACAAAAACTAGGGAGCAGGAGGAAGGAAGGAAGAAAGCATTTGTTTTCACCCTGGATTACAGAGTCCAATCCATTTTGCATGTGCAGCAGATGTCAGCAGGCTGAATGTGTGGTGTTTTCTCCTTCATTTGTATATTGCCAGCCTTCTCCTCCTTTTCCATCCTCAGCCAGAAGTGTCTGCCACCCAGTTGTTTTCTTCTGCCTAGGGATTAAGATAGGATGCCATACATTTGCACAATGATCTGATCTCAAGTTTGACTCACATTATTCACATTTGTATTCTTGCTTGGCTAAGCTTTGATTGTATATTTTTCGTTATTAATTTGGTGGTATGGAAAAGAAAAAAATATGTTTTTTTAAAAAATCTGTCTATTCCTTGTAAAGATGTTTTAGTGAGGAAATTATGTACATTTAAGCAAAAATCAAGATAAAGAAAAGGTTGCTAATGTTGAAAGCAGTTTGGTGAATTTGGCTTATCAATAGCCTTCAATTATAAACCCTCTTGTAATTTTTGGCACAAAATCCTAAGAGGAACAAAAGTGTTCACGTGGTGAGAAAATCATTGGTGACAGAATTTTCTTCAAAACTGGAATTCAGAAATACTCAACAAATAAAGGACTTATTCTTGAAATATTTCTGATAGCCTAAAGATAAGATAAAATTGACCTGGTAGTTACTTCTTTATAACTTAAACTTTAGACTCTCTCCCTAAATTTCATGAAGTGTCCCAAAGTGATACAAATATGTCTTTTGACCCAAATGAATTAGAAATCAAAACAGTTTGTGTTATATCTTCTTTGTGTAAGAAAGCACCTTAGAGATTATGTGGTTTCTAGACTAAACACACTTATTTTTTCTTCTTGATGAACCAGGGAAGACACATTCCCAAGATCTCACCAGTTGCCAGTGGCTCCTCATCATCCTATTTCCCCAACCACATCCTTCCTTCTTCTCTTTTTTATAAGTCCATATGTATAGTATTTATGCTGACAGACTGAAGAATTTTAAGTAAAAAGTAACTTTAGGACAGGCAATTCTAGTGAAGTTGCTTGTTTTACATTGATTAAATTAGGGATAAATTTATGCACATGGTCCTGGAGACCTTGTACACATAATTTGTTTTAGCACCTGATTTAGTCACTCTCTCTTTGCTGTCTTCTCAACCAATTCCTATTGTAATACATCAGTTGTCCTAAAACTTGGGCCCAAGGTGATTGTCTCACTTTTCTATATTCTGAAGATAGCTCTAGAGAACTCCCTCCGCATGATATTGCACTTTTTACATGAGTCATGATATTGCACTTTTTACATGCGTCAGGAATTATGCTCTACATGATTGGCAATGGAATCAGAAATGCTGACCTTTTTTTTTTTTTTTTTCTTGTGAGTATGGAGTCTCACTCTGTTGCCCAGGCTGGAGTGCAGTGGCACAATCTGGGCTCACTGCAACCTCTGCCTCCCAGGTACAAGCAGTTCTCCTGTCTCAGCCTCCCAAGTAGCTGGGATTACAGGTGCAAGCCGACATGTCCGGCTAATTTTTTGTATTTTAGTAGAGACAGGGTTTCACCATGTCGCTTAGGCTGGTCTCGAACTCCTAGCTCAGGCAATCCACCCACCTCAGCCTCCCAAAGTGCTCGGATTACAGGCGTGAGCCACTGCTCCCAGCAGGAATGCTGAACCTTTAGCACAAATTAGCAGAAAGGACTGGACTTTGGTGTCACATCTAGCTTCAGATCTTGCTCTACAACTTACTAGCTGTGGAGCACTGGAAATATTATTTAACGTCTCTCAGACTCTGTCTCATAACATGCAACACAAACTAAAAACAATCTTTTGAGTCTTAGTGTCTGTATATTTTAAATGCAAGGTTGACTTATTACCTCTAACTGCCTTCCACTGCTCCTAGCACAGTATGACCCATTGCCTTTTTTCTTTTTTTTTTTCCCTGTAGAAACTCAAGGAGTTTTAATCCCATCATTGTTGAAAGCATATCCTCTAGCCTCAGACTGCAGGACTTGCATTCAACCTCAGCTTGGTACTAGCTGCTTAATCTGGTGCAAATTATTTACCTCCTCTGTATCTAAGTTTCTAAGCTAGAAATTTGTAAGGAAAATGGTCTGTACCTCATACAGTTGTGAAAGTTAAACATTGTCTAATGGATAATGGTGGCTGAAAAAAGTCAATTAATATTAGAAACTATAAATATTTTAAAATGCAAGTCTATACCTTGCATTTTGTATTTTTATATTTTGTATTTAATACAAAATATAAATCTGCATCACAGCCTAAAAGCTGTGTTGCTGTTTTGCTTGCTAGCAATTGTCACTTTGCCCTCTTAAATGTTTCTCACTTCATCAGATATTGTAAATTATGGCACTGGGTTCTCATGGCTGCCGGGTGATTCTGCACCTCTCCTAACTTCCCCCTTTTAAATGTGAGGCTTACATGATGTTGATGGTCATTTAAATTAAAATGCCATATGCTATTCTTGCATTTTTATCATTTTCCTGAAATGTTGATTTTTGAAGTTGAGATTTTAATAGAGTTAACAGTCTAGTTCCTCTTCCACTCATCAACTACTCATTGCTGCTGTATGGGTGGGCAGCTGGGGAAATGAAGAGGTACAGGTTCTGGAGCCAGGCCATTTACCAGGATTTCCTCTACCCAAATAGCTAATATATAAAGCTTCCCGCCCGAGCATTCTGAGGTGGGAGATTGAAATGCAAGTATTTTCCTGAGACTCTGAAACTCACAGCCTTTGAGAGAGGTCCTCCTTCAGAAGCTCAGTGATTTTGATTTGCATGATAACTATAGATTGTGAAATACTGTTCCAGACTATTTAGGGGATCAGAAGTAAGATGATTATGCAATTACCTGGGGAATTTGAAGCAGTCTAGACAGTCAATCTATGAAATTCTGGAAAAGATATTATCAATATAGGTTGTCTAGACTACATCAAATTTAATTTTCAATGTTTAAGCTGCCTTAAGAGAGAATCTGCTTTAAATTCATCTATATTTTACTTAAAACACTACCTTTGGATTTAAACTGTTATGCTGTTGGTGAAGTTGAAAAAAAGAGACAGTGTATACTTCTACTATTGGGAGAAGACAGTAATAGATCGGGAGAGTGAGAAATAAAATAGCAATCGAAACAGAGGCCAGGATTATTGGCTTAGAGTTCATAAACTGTCATAGAGTTTGAATATATGAACTTTTGTTCTCAAGGACAACTTTTCAGATAAAGGACTTATTTTTCTCCTAAATTCTAGTTTAGACATTGTGTGTGTACTTTGCTATTACCTGCCCCATGCAATGTGAAATAATGAAAGACGAATCTCCTTTTAAAATTTTGTCTAGACATATAACAAATAATTTTATCATAGAAAAAAAGACATCATTTGTTGTTTTTATTAAGACTTTCATGGACATTTAAACATGCAGTTTTTTCTTTGCAGTGTTCTTCCTTTAAAACAACTAATCATCTTACATTCTGTTTTCAAGAATGTTGAAACTCCATTGTCAGGAAATGACATTATAGACTTATCATCATATATGGCAGAATGTCCCAGAAGTAAAACCCATCACTTTGAAGGAAAACAGGGCTTACTTTCTTATTTAATAGCTTTGGATCTTATAGGAAGAAATTAATGGTTCCTTTAAAGTAATAATACAACCGTTTGCAAAATAACCTTCAGTTTCGTCTTCTAGTTATGAAAATAGACCTCTTTTACTCTTCAGGCATTTTAATAGCAATACAGTCATGCGTTGTTTAACAGCAGAGATAGAATCTGAGAAATATGTCCTTAGGCTATTTTACTGTTGTGCAAAAATCATAGAGTGTACTTACACCAATCTAGATGGGATAGCCTACTATATACCTAGGCTACATGGTGGAGCCTATTGCTCCTAAGGCTATAAACCTGTACAGCATGTTACTGTACTGAATATTGTAGGCAATGTGTAGCATAATAATAAGTATTTGTTCATCTAAACATATGTAAAGAGAGACAAGGCTTTCCAATGGCTATGAGGTCACTATGCAATAAGAATTTTTTAGATCCATTATAATCCTAGGGGCCTACCATCCTACATGCCGTTCATCATTAACCAAAATGTTATGTGTCACCTGACTGTATTTACACTCCTGAATAGCGTATTCCAAAATCTACTTTAGCTGTATCGTGAATGCCTCCTGACCACACACAGTATGTCATTGATTGCTGTCTTAAACAGATTTTCTCTTTCCTGTGGTACATTTGGGAATTGGTAGACCTATTAATTAACTCCAGTTCTGTAAGATATGTGTCAATCAATTCTTGGGTATCTTCCAATAACACTTGACACTGCAGAAAACTGCCAGTGAGGTCACATACATCATACACATGTGTGTGTTTATCATAAAATGCTTGCAGAGTTCATGGAAAAATTGATTTAGAGTTAGAGTACACATGAGTTTGGAGTTTAAGCTCTCAGCATCCATGCCATTGAAATGAAAAGTGTGAGTCATCCTTGAGAGGCAAAATATTCCCAAATGGCTTACAGGATATGGTATTTCCCCTTCAAATTTACATCTGTTAATAAAACAAAGTATGAATTTAGGAGAAGTACAGATTTTCGAAGATGTCTCAGGATGTTTTCTCAAATTCCAAATGGGTCTTTTCTACTTACTGGCAGGAAATCTAAAATAAAAAAAAAGGCAGGCCCAGATGAGAGCTGAATTGTATTAACTCTATAAATACTCTCATAATATCATGATTGAGATTTATGATAGAACCAAAGGGACATTAAGAAATGCAATGAGGCTTAATGGCTATCTCTAAGGTCATTTCCACAATGACAACCAATATATCTATATATGAAATAAAATGTTTTGTCTGGTTCTTCCCTTCCACTAGAAATAGGAGTGTGCTCTGATGCAAAACTTTGAATCAATCCTCTTAGTAACAGTGCCCCAGGCCAAAATGTTATTTAAGTACTAGGTAATGCTCTGTCAACTAATTTATACTTCTAATCTAACCCATTCTAGTTGAGTTACTTCTTTCAATTTATTATACTATTTAGTCCAATGAAGAGCAAGTTTATTTCTACGAATTGGTACGGAACTGAGAAATTCAGATATCTTGGGAAAACAATAAGGAGTTGCTTTTGGGTAGGTGGATTGTCTTTCTGAGATCTTACATTGGAGTCTGTATTTATTTTGTAGCATGCTAGCCTCAGTGAGAAAAGTCGAGATTCATTGGCAACTCAGCTGTTCATTGTCTCCATCAGATGCAGCATATCCCTCATTTGCACTATGGACCTGAGCCAAATGTGATTAAAGTCCATAGTGGTTTCTAGGTTTTTCTTTCCTAATCTTTCAATACTTGAATCATGTTGGAAGATAGACTTGTACAAGTTACTATGCTTAATAAAGTACCATCATTTATATTCAAACTTAAATTTTAAAATGATCTGCTCTTTGTACTTGAGGAGAAGCTTTGCAGTTAATAAATTCTGAGATAACAACTCACTAGTGTATTTTTGCTTGGACTGTTAAAGTTCTAAATTCTAAATATTATCAGTAAGACTATTTCTCAAAATTAATAGAGGTAGTGCTTAAGTGAGGGAGTAAAGTGACCTAAGTCATACTTTGAAACAATAAAAAAATTTCAAAATGCTAAAAAAATAGATACCAAAATCCAAATGAACATCCTTCACACCCTTAATTAAAACATTTCAATTGAGCATTTTATATTTTGACTTGATTTCCCTGAATATTTGATATATAAACACAATAGTTATGAGATTAACATTCATTTATCCTGTACCTCTTGTATGTTCAATTGTACAGTTTTTTACTGATAATACTTGACAGCTTTTTTTCCCCTAAAAACAGTGACAGATAGAAATAGAAGTGTTAGCATTAAATTCTTACCTTGAAGGATATTTAGTTTTGTGTTTTAGCACATATAGCATACCTATTGCCAGGTAAAGTATTTGGACAAATTTAAACAGTTTTTATAAGGCCATATTGGTACAATAATGCCATTCCCAATCACCTATTAAAATAATATATTATCTATAGTACTTTATTTTTTAGTGTATGTGCTGCCGAAGTGAGCACTATAGTATCTGATTTTTGAATGACTTCTTGATTCACCAGAAATCAATGCAGATAAGGACTACATCGTATACAGTTAATATTAACCATAAACATGTTTTCCTATTCCTTGTAGACTAATACCTAGTTTGGATCAAAGCTTTTACATTTACTGGGGTGAGACAGTCACTGGAGTTATTTATCTCCTACTTACTCTTTCTCATATATGGGTCCTCTTTTGATTGATTCCCTTACACATATTTCCCATATAATCTACTTTAAGAGGAAATTTCTATTCATAAAAGCCTCCATTAATTTGTTATAAATATTAAATTTACAAAAACATGAAAAATAACACTAAATCCCATTGCCTGTTCACCTGTTTGGTACTTTTTCATCTTCCCTTTCATTCTCCAGCCTTCATAATCCTTCTTTTACCTCTCGACTCTAGTTCTATGTTTTATTTTTATTTTCATTTTTTACCTCTTTGTCTCCTTGTGTAAATAACTTCATTTTAAAACCAAAGTTTAAGAGTGGAAACACAACTTGAATCTGCAGATGAGAAAAAAATATTTTATTTTTTTAAAATATAAGAAAAGTAGCATAACAAACTTAGACTGAATTTCCTGAAATCAGAATACCTTCATCTCCTCCTGCAATGTGTTTCTAATAAATGGACATCAGTAAGTTATCTCTCAGTCTTGTTTTTAACTGTGATGATTTATTCTGATATTAATGTGAAAAAATGAAATAAGCACATTCTAATTATTTGGATGGCTATCCCACAGTCATAATTTATTTTTTTTAATTTAAAATTTTAGTACCCTCATTTGCTTGAAGCTTATGATTATTTAAATGCCAAAAATGCTCCTTTAATTGTATTGGGCTAATGAGAAAGAAACAAAGCCTGACTCGATATGCAAATGCTATATTCTGCCAACTAAGGACCAAAGTAAGGCCAGAGTTCATGGTATGAAGGAAGATTTTGCTGTGGTTGAGATAGAGAAAAATGGTGAGAGAATTAAATCATCCCAGAGCACATGAAAGTGTATTTGCCCACCGCAATGACTGTAGCTTCTGGGTACTAGGACTATGTTCACACTGCAAAATTGTATTTACTTTTCAGTATACATAGCAATGTCATTGTCATGTTGCATTGCTATAACTAATTTTAATTGGATTTCTTTTCCAATTTTGCTGGTACTTAATTTTAAATATAAAGAGCATATACTTAGTTACTGTCAAAAAAAACCCCCATACAATATGTGGTAACTCTGACAGCATGCTAGAAGACACCTTACAAGTGTTTTTAAAAAGATAGTGTAAAAGGCCGGGCACAGTGACTCAACGCCTGTAATCCCAGCACTTTGGGAGGCTGAGGTGGGCGGATCATTTGAGGTCAGGAGTTCGAGACCAGCCTGGCCAACATGGTGAAATCCCATCTCTACTAAAAATACAAAAAATAGCCAGGTGTGGTGGCGGGCATCTGTAATCCCAGCTACTCTGGTGGCTGAGGCAGGAGAATTGCTTGAACCCGGGAGGCCGAGGTTGCAGTGAGCTAAGATCACACCACTGGGCAACAAGAGTGAGACTCTGTTAAAAAAAAAAAAAAAAAAAAAAAGCGATAATGCAATCTCCTTCTCTGTATTCACACCAGAGGATACTCTCCTTGCCCTAATTTTATAGCCCTGGTCTATGGGTCCCAATGGCTCTCTGCTGCTCCAGGCTTAGCACATTTGGTCTGCATAGCTTTAATACTGCTCTTTTCCTTACTGGATTAATGTCTCATCCAGTTAGTACTTGTAGATCATTGTCTTCCACAGCCAAAGCCAGATAGCTTGTGGTTTAAAAAATGACTAAAACTCATATTTCACAATAGAAACATTACCATGATTTGTAAAAAATAAGTCAAGAAACTCTCTTAAGGCAGATAAGTAGAAAAGCACACTTTAATAGTCACACTTTTATCCTAAATTAGCATCTTGAAATAAGTCATATGAGTTGATATCACTAACACAAATTCACACAGTTGATTGGTGATAGGGCTTAGACTAGCACCCTTGTTTAAAACTTCATTTTTGTAATTTCCATTAGAGTCTATCAAAGTTAGGGTTTTCTAGAACACCTCTGTTCAAAGGCAGTATAATGCTAGCTGCATATGTAATTTAGTTTTTCTAGTAGCTATATTAAAAGGAATAAAAATAACCACAGGTGAAATTATTTTTAATATATTTATTTTAACTAAATATATCCAAAATATTATTTAAATATGTAATCAATATAAAATTATTAATAACATTGACATTATTTTTTGTACTGCCTTTGAAATTTAGAGTTTTTATGAGACTTAGAGCTCAACTAAATTTAGACTAGTCTCATTTCACATGTTCAATAGTTTCATTTGACTAGTAGCTCCCGTATAGGACAGCTCAGTCCTACAAAGTAAAGCAAAGATAGAATGCAGAATGACAAGTGATCATCATACCTATATGAGCATTTGTGTAAAAATTAATATCTGATAGTTGAAATCCAATATTGTTGCTTATGATAATATTATTTAAACTGTTTTACATTTACCCCCTTAAAAACATCATTGTCACCAAAACTGAATGAAATCTAGCAGTTAGAACTAACTGGAGTATAACCCAGCAAACCTGACATGTTGCACAATTGAACTTCAAGAGAGTGGGGGGAGAAAACCATTGTGTTATAGTTGCACAGTGGTTTTAACATAACGGTAAATTTTCAGATCATTTTATGGTGAAAACTTCAAATTTTGCATAATGTCAGTTGACATTCACCAATATACAAATATGTAGAAAGAGTCCTTATTTCCAAGAGAAGATAAAATAAATAACTATTACTCTGGAATAGTGAAAAGGAGGATAATGATGTCATAGCTTTGTTTGCATCCAAAGTTATGGAACCCCCTCTTGTTATCCATGACATTTCATGAAAGCTTTTTATATGGAAAGGACCTAACCTTATGGATCTAACAGTCTTGCTGTAAAAGCATACACATGCAATTATAACAAGCCAGAAGATATATCATAATCTAAATTGCTAAGATGTGTTTGTACTGATACAAATGCAATTGCAGTGTAAAGAAAAAAAAATGACATCATAGGGTTCCATGGGGAAGCAGTCTGATTAGTCAGCTGTATCCTTGTGTTCAGTCTCAGCATTGCACCATGATTCTCCTACAGGATGAGAGATGGGGAAGTAGAAATAGCAGGGACATGGATGAGAATCAGCATGAGGTAATGAGAACAGCACTGAGGTGAAAAAGAAAAGCGTCATGAGCAAACCTTCTGCAATAAAGGTTTTATTAGATATATCTGAGAGAGTACTAGAAAATAATGGAGGCTTAACATTCATATCTATGTTTCTTCAGATTTGAGGCTACAATACTGCTCAACTGCAATTAACAATGCCCAGATGACCTTGGAAGCAATTTGTATTCACATGAATGATTCAGTAGTGATAAGAATGGCTTTAATAAAAACCTAGGAACATTTTTTCTTAATTTTCTAATATTGATTGTAAGGAATATGAACACAAATATCATCCCTCAAAGGGCTCACATAGAAACAAAAATCTAACTTCGGTGTTGGTAAAGACATCTGCAATAATACAAATCATACTCCCAATAACTAATATTGATTGAACGGTGAATATATATCCTGTACTTTAAAAGTATTACTTTACTTAATTATCACAAAATCTGATGAGGTAGCTACTCTCAGTATCTTCATTTTACTAATGAGAAAAGTAAGGTTTTTCATGATTGTTTTGTAATAGACCTGAGGCAAAGATGCTATTCAGTAGTTCATGTCTGAATCCAGAACCTGCACCTTTAAAAGGACATTCCAGCACCATACAATAGGAGAAGAAAAGTAAAATGATTAGTTCTGGTTTAGAGGACTATGTCGGAGTGATTTTTTTCTCCTGGATTTACACTTCAGAAATACTTAGTGCACACCTCGTTTGTACAAAGTGATGAGTGTAAATAAGGGAACACTCAATGAGGTAAACAAAGGCCATCTTATTCTAACTGGAATTTGGAAATGGATGAGATATTGATAGATTTGGAAGACAGACAGGCTATGGAAACAGTGAATGGAAGGAGAAAAACATAAATGATTATAGTCCAACAGGGAAATGGCAAATAGCCCAGTGTGCATAGAGTTTACTGCTTTTCAAAAAAAGGAGACGAGAAAGTTAAGATCAAATTTAGTTTAGGCAAGCTAGTCAAGAACCATGCAAGTTTTCAGACAGACAAAACCACTATTGCCATGATTCACTTTGAAACATATTTCTGGCATAAATATGAGAGAAAAATTAATAGACATATACATAACATCCTCTTTTGAGGCTATAGCAAAAGTTCAGTAGTGACATCATAAGACCCTATTCTGATACTGAGTGAAAGATGCTGCGTAAAATTACAATTCTCAAATGAAAACATCAAGATATCTAAATAATAGCCAGATCTCATAAGCCATTAGATGAAATATAACTGAGGTGATGACACTGTTTAAACTCCTCATTAAAAAAAGCGTTTATGATTCTTTTGTGAATTAGTCAAACTTGTTTTATAGCATATTGTGGTTCATGCACATTTAATTTTAACTCCTGAGCTTACAAATCAGCTGCGTTAAGCTGCATTTATGTTGTGCATAAAACATTAAGCTACTATAGGCAAAGTTATGTGAGTTTTGCATTGATAGCATATCACAAAGGAGAGTTTCTCCATTACTCGTAAATAAAGAAAATGCTATTTTGGGGAATGTATATGTGAAAGTAATTCAAATGCACTTTTCTTTTAAAAAAAATTCAAGGCCGGGCGCGGTGGCTCACGCCTGTAATCCCAGCACTTTGGGAGGCCGAGGCGGGCGGATCACGAGGTCAGGAGATCGAGACCATCCTGGCTAACACGGTGAAACACCGTCTCTACTAAAAATACAAAAAATTAGCCGGGCGTGGTAGCGGGCGCCTGTAGTCCCAGCTACTCGGGAGGCTGAGGCAGGAGAATGGCGTGAACCCGGGAGGCGGAGCTTGCAGTGAGCCGAGATCGCGCCACTGCACTCCAGCCTGGGCGACAGAGCGAGACTCCGTCTCAAAAAAAAAAAAAGAAAAAAAAAGAAAATGTAATTCCTGATTAATCTCTGGTTATTCTATCCAATTTATCTTCTGCTATAACTATTGTCCACGATTGTTGTTATTACTTTTATTACTATTAGAGGCTATTATTGTTGGCATGGTTGATAGCTTTATCAAAATTATATAATTTGATTTTAATAATTCTGTGAAAGAAGCATTATCTCTGTTTCTCAATTGAGGAAACTAAGGCTCAGGGAAGTTCAACATGTTACATAACATCACACAGCCAGTATATCATCTGTCCTCATGCCCATCATAACAAATGGCCTTTCTAATGGCATCAATATTATACCCCATTGAGATTATGCTATATGATGTGCTTATTAATACTTAGTTCTAAACACTCAAAACTTTGAATTTCAAGTTAAATCCATTACAATTTGCATTATCAAGAACCTTCTTGAAAGTAGCATTAAATTCTTCATGCTGAAATAGTGTATGTCACCTTGGTAAAATTCCTTGGCAGTGGCAAACTCACAGAGTCCTTTAAAAGATTATAGTAATAACATAAACTGGGAGTTGTGTTTTAATAAAACTAGTGCTAGAATACCCCACAAAACAGTTATTCTGTTACTACTAATTCTCTCTGTAGAAATTCTAGGGATTGAGCAAAGATAAATAAAACCCACCTACCTTACTTCTACCTGGACAAGAAGAAGAGCAGTAACATGTTTTACAATCAAAGAAAAATATAACTATATTTTTTACCAAAAGGAAAAAGTTAGGATTTGTAGCACTAATACAAATATTTTGAAATAGATTACTTAAAATAAAAATAAAAATAAATGTTTTCCAACTCTCATTCAAAGTAAGTTTAGCAATGAAGCATGTCTTTTTACTTTTTCCTAATATTATGATCATGTAATATTTTAAATACACAGAAAAGTATGAATACCAGTATATTATCAACCAATTATACTCTAAGAATCAGCAAATACTTAATTTTATATAGCATAAATTATTATTAAATATCAGAAGATGGTCATACTCTTTATTCTATTATTTCTAATGTAAATGGGCCTTTTCAAGCTATCCCTAGCTGTAAGAATGTTGAAATATTACATTTTTTTTCCAAAGGCTGCATTTTACTCTAATTTTGTACTTATGAATCTTTGGAAATTCCAGCAGGAACAAATGTATTTGGAGAAATATATCTTTTTGTGAAGGGTCATCCTTTAATCATTGCTTTAAAAAATCGAATGCCATAGGTATTCAACTTTCATTGAATGCAATTATTTTTATCCTTGCATATTTTGCTATTATTCTTTAGTAATTTAAAATCTACTTCTGTAAAAATGATAGAATATTTGGTAATACTACCCAAATACAGCTTTAAGATTTATACATTTATAGGTGAAAAAGAGTATTATTTCAAATTATCAGAAATCAAACCATATCCATTGACTACTTTCCATTTTTATTTTATCTTTATTTTCCAGTCTGCCATTTTATCCATTGTGTATCTTTGGTCCCTGAAAGCAATCCCAGGAACTGCTGAGCAGTTAAAAAGCGAGTCTAATGGGATCTAAAATCAATTCGCAAGTCTGCCACTGATTCATTGTATGCCTTTTGCTGCCACTGAAATGACATTAAACCAGTCTCTTAAACCAGCATTTTTATACCCCTGTATTTTTGTTGTGATTAAAAAATACTTATCTATTCACTATGCATGTACACTAAAGAACATAGATTACTGATTAATAAATATTAGACTACTTTCTGTTTCAATCAGTTACCTCACTTGAGATTAGCACAAAACTTTATACAGAGGCTTAAAAGTCTGTATTTTTCTTGTGTTGCAAATGCGGTTTTGTATACGTGCCAGGGTTCAAGATCCTTTTAAGTGCTTTTCTCCTGGCAAATGTGGCTTCTTCTGATTTATCTTTTGTTGGCATTTAATAACTGTCTTACCTCATATTTAAATTGCTTCACCTGGAACAGATGGATGCTTGGCGTCCCACATTTACTTGCCCTTTGCTGGCCTCAATCTTGGGGACAATTGTAACCTTTGCCCTTAAGAATCCGTATTCTTGTCATGCTAGATAGCATTCCTAGGTACTACCTTGACACCAGATCATACTTTTCTAACTGCAATATGGAAACATTTTAAAATTCATGTTAAAATTGCACAGTATCTTAGACATATGTAAACATATTTTATTTTCTAGAAATGTATAATAATTTATCTAACAGAATGGGAAAAATGTATGTGACTGGTAAGCAAAATATCTCAATTTTTATCATATGAAAATCCAGAAAAATAGAAGTGACTTGTGTACCTGCTTTATAAGGTGCATCAGAGGCAATCAGCAATTTCCTGTCTGTGAATTAAAATCAACTTGAGGTGAAATGAAAAGACAAGATGAAATGATGTGTTTGACACATAAATGACAAAAAATTTCATCCTATTCACTTTTCCACCTTGTATTTAGAGAAGTCTAAAAAATTTAATAATATCCTAAGACAAAAATGAAGTTATTTTCAACTAATGCTTCCAAGAAAATAATTTTCATCTGGAATATTTTAGTGCAAAAAAATTCATTTGGAAATTTTTGTATACTCATAACTACTTATGCTTAATGCTATACTGAACACAAAGCTCAACAATATATGGTATTTTACTTTGAGAAAAACACATGTCCAAAGAAAAGCTGTGGCCAAAATTTCCATAAAATTCTTGCTAAAAAATAAGTTTATAAAATACTATAGCTTTCAGTTACTGTACAGCTTCTCTAGTTCCTATCCTTCACTTTATAATATAGAAAATTTAAACTCGAATTAGTTAAAAAGTATCTTTAAATCTCTTGGCTACTTAGTGGTAAGAGCTGAAGTTAAGCTCAATTCTCTTGACAGCTAATTCAGAGTCTTTTCCATTATGTTACATTGCCTTCACTCTCACTGCCAAATGTTTAAAAGGGAATGAAAGCCACAATTTTCCATGTACCTCAAGATGTTTATAACGTTTTGTATTCAAAAATTAAATTGAATGCTTATTAGTAACATTCAATAATTATTGTTAAAATATAGTTGGCTTTGACCTCTTCATGCATAAATTGTCTGATTATAAACTATATTATGTAATTTCAGGGGAAATGTTTATGATATCTTTTATAAAAATAGTATTACTTATTGAAAATGAATCAACTGCCTCATCAAAGTAGACAAAATTTGAATATTGTTTCAATACTTTAGGAACTTTTATTCTCATAAAAGTAGTTGGATTTAAGATGATTTCTATCAGTTGAAGCAGTCAACACATATCAAATATTATCAAATAAAGTAATTGGAAACATTAGAGAAGCAACCTGAACACAGGAATCATGCAAAATTTCACACTCACACCTCTGCATTCAGTGGACAAGAATGACTAAATGCTTTGATCTCCCCTGGATAACATGAAAGAGGAAAGGAAAAAAAAAAGCAACATCTGTTAGAATAAAGGTTTAGTGAACAGAATGGAGACTAGTTGACATAAGACATAGGGCATGAAAAAAAAAAGATAAAATGCATAAGCCAAGTTATTTATAGCCTCAGACCTTACTAGTCCAAAGAGATAAAGTCTGACATAGAAAAAAATATTGAAATAAATTCAGTTATATTTATGTTTAAAGTAGGTGAAAATCCAGAAGGGAGTTTCCTACAAATGTTTTCAATGGGAATATATATATATATATATATATATATATATGTATATAAAAAATATAAAATATATATAATATATATAATGCCATATATAAATGCATTATATACATATAATGCCATATATATGCTACATAATAATGGTATATAATAATATATAAACATATATTTATATATAATGTAATATATAATTGCATTTTATACATATAATGCTATATATAGCAATATATAGAGAGATATGTGCAATATATATACAATATATAATATGCAATATATATAATGCAATATATAGAGAGATCCACAGTATATTTATTTATATAAATTATAAATAAATTACCTATATACAGTATATATTTTGTGTGTGTGTGTGTGTAAGTGTGTATGTTTACTCATGGTGGGTGACAATATCTTA
The DNA here is from genome assembly GCF_000001405.40 of Homo sapiens. NCBI lineage: Eukaryota > Metazoa > Chordata > Mammalia > Primates > Hominidae > Homo > Homo sapiens. Next base: position 84,094,995 of record NC_000007.14, on the reverse strand, counting down.
GACAAAACTATGAAGGTGTTATATAAACAATATAATTAATGTTAGACTGCTTGGATATATATCTGTAAATGTAGACTTCTATCAGTTTTCCACTTAAGGAAACAAATGTCTGCTGTGGGAAAGGTGATTGCTTTGAAGTGGATCAGTTCTATATACAGATGTATTTACCTGGGCATTGTCCATCTCTCAACTACAGCAAATACTCAAAGCAAAAATATTTCAACGGGCAATTAATAAATTTGATGTACTTTCAGGTTTGTGAGTTTTTGTGTTGCAAAGTGTGTTTTAGTTGTTAGCGGTGGTGGGTTTTTTTTATTTTAGAATCGGTGTCATATTATGATGTTAGAAACATAGATTCCACTATCACGTAACATAGTATTTTCTAAGATTTTGAATGCCATAGCTGCAGTTCCCAATCTTATATCTAGCAGATGACATGCACATATGTGACATTCTTTCATAAGAACACCCATCGTTATATGCATATGAATGCTCTAGAATACAAGTAGATATAATAATGCCAGCGGAGCCTTAACCTTGAATTGGCCTTAATTTCTTTAAAATAATAACATAAAAAGAACGCTATTGAAAATATACGTACTTTAAGTTCAGGAAAGCAGAGCCTGTTTAAGATCAGTGCAAGTATAACATGGGAAAAAAAAAAAGGCAAAAACTTAAGATCTTAGATGTAGGGAGAAAGTAATTTAAAAATATAGAAAGAAGGACGTTTGCCTCAAAGATGGTGCCTGTATGTAATGAACTAAGTGGACTTTTCTCCTGGGCAGCAGACCAGAAGTGTAAACGTCACCAAGGCATATGGTTCCTTTTCGTGAAATAACAATCTTAATTGACATCCCACTCTCTCCACCTCTCCCCTCTCTGGCCTGACTTACCCTATCCAGTCAGACTTCCACATCAAAGCCAGAACAAACTTCAAAAAAGGCAAATGGTAGCCTGGTAGCCTTTGTGTACAGACATTCCTTTGCCTACCTTTTTTCCTAGCAATTGTAGAAATTGGCCTTTGGTTCCTGGTGCCTCCCACCTTGGCATCCTTTCTTTTTTTTTTTTTTTAAGTTCTAGGATGCATGTGCAGGTTTGTTACATGGTAAACATGTGCCATGGTGGTTTGCTGCACTTATCACCTAAGTATTAAGCCCAGCATGCCTTCGCTATTTTTCCTGATGCTCTCCTTCCAACTCCCCAGAGGCACAAATGGGTGTTGTTCCCCTCCCTGCGTCCATGTATTCTCATTGTTCAACTCCCACTTATAAATGAGAACATGCAGTGTCTGGTTTTCTGTTCCTGTGTTAGTTTGCTGAGGATTATGGCTTTCAGCTCCAGTCATGTCCCTGCAAAGAACATGACCTCATTCCTTTTTATGGCTGCATAGTATTTTATAATGTATATATATACTACATTGTATGTCTTGTTCTTTCAGTTCCTTTTCATTCCTCATCTCTCTTCTCCTAGGACATTGCATTTATTGCTTTTGTTGCGTTGATAGATCTTCTCTTGGATATTTGCTTTAATAAATCCATCTCATCCTTCTGATCTCAATTCATGCATTACTTCTTCAGAACAAGTTCCACTGACTTGTATTGTAGTCTACCATTATGTATGTTCTCATGGCAACACAGCAAAAAGTCAGATGAGTAAATAAATACACATATTGTGGTAAGTGCTGTAATGGTACTTAGAGACTTTGTCTGAAGTAGGATATATATCTGCATGTAGGAGTCACATCACATAAACACTCTGAACTGTTGAAGACCATTTGTTCATCTCTCAAGTGTTAGTTATTTTTGTGTTTATCTTGTGCAAAAAGTTACATGGTGCAAATTAGAATTAGAACATGAAATAAATGTCCCCAGCCAGTTTGAATTCTTAAATAACACCAAAGGAGTCTCTCAAAAATAAAACGTAGTATCTCCATATTTCAATACGAGTCATTTTCTATATTTGACATATATCAAATATATGTCAGGAATAATCTATATTGATTAACAAATATTATCCTGTAATTTTAACACATTTGATTTTTTTTTGGTTGGTATTACACAATTGTCTTATCCCTTGTATACATATGACCTAACAGAAAATAAATTTAAATGAATCTTCATAATAACATTTACACAGAAGTGCAAGTAAAAGTTATTTTCTGTTACAGTCCTTATGTAGTAAGTTAGCAAAGAAATAGTTGGAGGTTATGCACATCCACAATTAAAGGAGGGAAGAAGGAGGCATGGAGGGAAGGAGGAAATAAGAAATATACCTCAAGATCTATTTTGGTAAAACCAATCTGGCTAATACTGGAATTTGCTAGATAATAGTATCTGTTAACTTTTATTTCATGCCCTTTGCTTAAAATAGAATAGAAATTCTTTGTCTGCAAACTTCGATATTCTGAATTAGGTATGACACAAAAATTTTGTGGAGATCTTTTCACTCATTTATCACATTGAAAAAAAGTAGCATGTTTATGTTAAAGTTTACATTTTATTCCTGGAAACTGACACACAGGAAGCAATAAATATGAAAAGTGTTGTGATGTTCAGCGGCAGTTTTCTTCCCCGCACAGGAAGGAAGTGGGAGTTTTAAAGTGAGAGTGCAAAGGAGACAAGTAGAAACAAAGGCATTCGTATGTACACACGGACATTCAAAAGATAATCACTGAAAGTGGCACTACAAGAAAACTATGCTCCACTGTTTGAGTTTCAAATTAAAGCTCTCTGAGGATAATGGTAAATTTTATTTGGGTAAAAAAATTGCTTTGTATCTTCCTCCATCAAGATTTCAATTGGCAGGAGATGACACAACCTGCTTAACAATCAGGTATTTCAAAGGTTGAGAAGATTTAGAGGGAGCATTTAAAAAAATGCCTTTTAAAAAATATATGTGAACAGCACGTATTCATTTGGCACATGTATAACATTAATTCATTAATACTCAAGAGTATTCTGATACTCTGATACTGATAGAGTATTCTTAGGGTACTCTGCCTAGAATTCAGAATTTAGTGTAGTGTGTAGACTTATATAAAAATACAACCTGCATATCTGTTAGGAAAAAATATAACATTTTAATATTATGGAATTTCATTTGTTCATAACTTACTGATTTAGATTCTAAATAAAGCATCTCAGAATTCTGTGCTTTGCAGGTTAGAAAAAGAACATTATCATCAAACTGGCTCTATTTAAACTCTTCACTCACGGTTATTAATACATCATTAAGTTTCTGGATATTCATCTTGAGAAAAGCATGAAGATAGTCTCTAAAAATTGGAGCCAAATTAAAACAGTTTTCTCTAACCCTGACTGAATTTTTAGAAACCACTTTGGATTATCCACAGTGTTAGACTGAAGTTTAATTATATTGTTTTACCTCAAAGGAATACTGTGATCAAATGTAGATAACCTAGTAAAGCACTCGGCTGAATAGCTTCTGGTTGTGACAGTAAATATTTATCATTCTAAATCTCCACCCACATTCTTAACCCAGCATGCCCTGATAAGGTGTGTGCTATTTTAGTTTGGCATTTACTCTTTATGTTAGATGTGAAATATAAAATATTTTGTGTAAAAGAATATTCTTTATATTAACCTACACAATTTCCTTCCTTCCTTCCTTTCTTCCTTTCTTCCTTCCTTCCCTCCTCTTTCTCTCTCTCTCTTCCTTCCTTCCTTCCTTTCTTTTTCTTTTTCTTTCTTTCTTTCTTTTCTTTCTTTTTCTCTTTCCTTCGTTCTTTCCTTCCTTCCTTCTTTCTTTTCTTTCTTTTCTTTTCTTTCTTTCTTTCTTTCTTTCTTTCTTTCTTTCTTTCTTTCTTTCCTTCCTTCCTTCCTTCCTTCCTTCCTTCCTTCTTTCTTTCTTTCTTTTTCTTTCTTTCTTTCTTTCTCTTTCTTTCCTTCTTTCTTTCATTTTGAGTTGGAGTCTCACTCTGTTCCCCAGGCTACAGTGCAATGGCATGATCTCGTGATCTCAGCTCACTGCAAACTCTGTCTCCCGGGTTCAAGTGATTCTCTGGCCTCAGCCTCCTGAGTAGTTGGGATTACAAGCATGAGCCACCACGCCCAGCTAATTTTTGTATTTTTAGCAGAGATGGAATTTCACCATGTTGGCTAGGCTGGTCTTGAACCCCTGGCCTCAAGAGATCCACCTGCCTCGGCCTCTCAAAGTGCTAGGATTACAGGCGTGAGCCACCACGCCCGGCCAACCTACACAATTTTCTACAGTGTAGTATCTGGAATATTTTACATATTTGATAATATTTATTAATTTCAATAAATAAATATAGATACCAGTGTCAACATCATTATGACTTTAAAATTATCAATATTAAATAATATTCTTGTTTTTTAAAGAAAGAAAATTGCTTAGTTAAAAGCATACATTTGGTTCCCCTTTTATTTATTTTCATTTCTTCCACACATAAGCTTTAATGCTTGTTTGCATTATTTGTTCAACGTGGGTCTTGTGTTTTGTTTTTTTTGCATTTAGGTTGACTCTTTCCTCCTTGCAGAGAGAACATGCTATTCCCATGTAGTAGGCTATTCTTGCACAGTTTTAGACAAATCGTCTGCAAACATTGTATTGCCTGTCCATTATTTTAGGATCAATACATAAAGAAGTTTTAGAAACAGAAAGGAGGGAGTGTATCTAGCAGTCATTAGTTCTCTGAATGAAAATTTATCATCTTTTTATTAAATACACATGCTGATTTTTCCTATGTAATATTAAAACTCACTTACCTAGTACCTAAACCCACATAGTTTTACTTAAAAGTTCTTACCAACTTCTTTCCAAATCAAACTTTAAATCTGGGGACTGCATAAAATTACTCCTCCACTGCAACATAAAAAATGAAAACTATCTTGTATAATATTTTGTCTTATTTTGTTACTCAGAGAATATATGGGATTAAACTTCAAAATCTTTAAAATTTTCATGAGCATAATTTTTCAAATTTATTTTCTATAACAAAATAGATCTAACTTCAAATCATCCATCATATAATAATAGTATTTTAAAATATATTTTTCTAAGAATGAATTTTATAAATGTCCTACTTTAGTCTCTATATAGTTATTAAATGTATCAAGTTTACAAATCAATATTGCATCTTTAGCACAGTTCATAACCTTTAAAATTTAGTCTGATAGTACAAAAGGCTCCTTTTCAGTTAATAATAAATCTAGGTATATAAAGTGATACACAGTACATGTCTATAAGTTGTATATCTGTATACATATATTTACCAAATGTGTATATAAATAAAAATCCTTTAGAATTGTATAATTATAAAAAGCAATCAATTTATAAAAGAAGCCCTATAATGATTTACTATCCAAATACTAATAATTGCTTTGAAGGAATGACTATATTTTTTATTAGATGTTTAGACAATTTGCAATTATAGCATAAGTTTATGTAATTTAGATGTGTATGATTTCAGTCAAATGACTGAAGGCTACAGACTTATATGGTTGACTCCAAACCCATAATTACATTAAAATCAATAATTTTAACACTCCTTGTTTTTTATCTATGAAATAACATTTACCATATGGTATTTATTCATATGGTAATAATTGACAAATTTTGTAGATTGTTACCTGTGTAGTTGAAAATTCTTACTCTTGTTGACATATTTGCATTTGCATAGGACTTCATTCATTTTGAAAATGGCAAAATTAGTACCAGTTATACTAGTTGCATTATATGTGCGTATACAACAGCATATATTCTCCTGCAAACAGACTACTAAACAGAACGGTTATGACTAAACTAAGTGAGATTTTGAGATTTCTATTCTTCTTTAAAGGGAAGTATTTTGCACTACTCCTCTGACAATATGCTGCAAAGTGGTGCTCAAGATGAGTGTTTACATATACGTTTTCACCAAATGGCATTCTTCTTCCTAACAGCTCTAAATTGACTCATTATTGTGTCTTAGGAGAATTATTACTTCAATGCCTTTTTTTTTTTACTCTTACTGTAAGCTCTGAAAAGTTAAGAAAATAACTTTGCTTTTTTGAACAAATAAAACCCCCTCCCTCACTGTTTAAAATCCTGAAAAAAAAACATTAACATGAAAGAACATTCTGAGCAACAAGGGAGGCTTCTCACTCACAAAGGAATACTTTCATGTATTAATCATGGCTGCAAGTAACTTAAACATCAACTAGATCAAATTGCACCCTATGCATTTTTAAATTCTCCAACTACTATTTCATATTCTTGTAGTTTTAATGTTAGGCAGGAAGGTGGAAAAATAAATAGAATCATGCATTTCATATTGTTTTCTGAATATGTCAAATTTTATTGTCAAATGTTAATTAATGATTCTATCATATTTAAATAGATGTCAAAAATGTATTCCCAATCAACCAGCATATAGACACACACATACCATTTTTACAATATTATGATAATGATAAATAAAATTGAATTAAGACAGGAATCTTCCCCTTAAGTAACTTTTAGAATTTACTTAGAGACATAAAACTAGCATAGTTGTCAAGCATACTTTCTTTTTTTTTTTGGAAACGGAGTCTCCCTGTGTAGCCCAGGCTGGAGTGCAGTGGTGCGATCTTGGCTCACTGCAACCTCTGCCTCTCGGGTTCAAGCGATTCTCCTGCCTCAGCTTCCTGAGTAGTTGGGACTACAGGCACCCGCCACCATGCCCAGCTAATTTTTGTATTTTTAGTAGAGACGGGGTTTCACCGTGTTAGCCAGGATGGTCTCGATCTCCCGACCTTGTGATCCACCCGCCTCGGCCTCCCAAAGTGCTGGGATTATAGGCATGAGCCACTGCGCCTGGCAAGCATACTTTCAATAAACACTTTTTTGTTCTATTTTGTGATGACAGCATGTGGATTTATAATGAAAAGATAAATTTAACATGTTTCCCGCCCTCAGAACTACATATTTGGGGGAAAAATAAATGTAACATAGAGCAATGACTGGTATAATACAGTTACTTACAAAGTGCTACAAGATCCCTAAAACAGGGATATTTAATTATGCCTAAGAGTATTTGAGCTAGTTCCAAAAAGAGTCAAAACAAGAATAGGATCATTTCAGCAAATGAGAAGAAAACTGCAAGGCAAAGTGGAATAAGAGTAAAACAAAATGCAAAAACATAGAGGAAGGCCAACAATAGTAAAAGAATAAAATGCTGTGCAATAGGTTTTCAGAGAACAGAAGTTCATGGGAATGAAGTGTTCAGAAAAGGATTCAAGAAGGTAGTAGTAACAACAATGCCAATATAACAATAATCAACTACTGCACATTGAGTTACACCAAAACACATTTTGGCATAACTTCTGTTTACTCCCCTACATCTCTACTTAGATGTCCTCTAGGGAAGCCATCTCTATTTCATTTCCAGTCCCCAAGTTCAATCAGCATCATATATTTTCATATGATAGTATCCTTGTAGGAATATTCATTAAAATTACATGAATATTGTGAAAGTTTATGTTTAATGCCGATCTTCCCTACAATACTGTAAGCACCAGAGGACTAATGGTGGATCTGTCTTATCCAGCTGTAGAACACTAGCCCCTGGCATGAAGTAGGATCACAACAAATGCTGTAGAAATGAATGACTCCATGTCTACACACTATGCCAATTAAGTTATTTTGTGTAATTCCTGTAACATTCTAAACAGGCAGATGGGACTTTTTGCATTTTATAGATGAGAAAAATGAGAATTAAAATGTTAAATAACACAAAATCACACTTCTAATGAATCACAGAGCCATGATTTGAACTCAGATCCTTATGAGTACTAACCTCTTACTACAGTAACTATGATAAGCTACTGATAATGGCCTGGAATTTGTATAAATGGATGCAACAACGTAAATATTTTCATTAGGAATAATACAACAAAAAAGACATAGAATTAATAGCAAATGTACCATCTTTGTTGCATAATAAAGAGAATGTTCTTTACAAATCATTTCGAATATTACAAAATAGTAGAAAGACAAATTTGATGACTGGGATTAAGCCAAATTATGAAGACTCTTGAAAGAAAATCATGTATATGAAAAGAGAGAGCTGTGAGAATTACTGAGTAGCTACTTAACATGATGAAAGCATGCATTATAAAGTTTAGTGGAGTATGTGATGAAGTAATTGGGTAAAGAAGGATAGAGCACCAAAGAAGTCTATCAGAAAGCTGGGCAAAAACCTAGCTGATGTAATCACAGCCAATACTTGAAAGGTGAGTGTGGAAAAAAATATATATATACACACATATATATGTATACATATATATGATGTTCCATATATATACATATATTCCATATATATACATATATATGAGTTGTGCCCTCTGGAGCACAAGTTATTTTCTTTATTTTTGTGAGAATTGTGAGGATTATAAATATAATATAATAATATATTATATGTAAATATAATATAATAATATATTATATGTAAATATAATATAATAATATATTATATATAAATATAATATAATAATATATTATATGTAAATATAATATAATAATACATATTATATATGAATATAATAATATATAAAATATAAATATAATATGAAATATTAAAAATAATAATAGCAAAGAGTGTATATGTTATCATCGCATAGGAACAAACAGCCTTAAGGAGATTAAGGTCATGATTACACAACTACAGAGCAGCAGATTCTGGACTCAAAGCCAGGTATGCTAATTCTAGAGACTGTTGTAGGAACGAGCACAGGACCCAGCATCTTCTTGTGTTCTCAATTTGTGCTGCTGTGGTTTAATGCATGTACCAGGGAGAGTGCTGGCAAAGGTTGACAGCAGTAGTAGTGATTGTAGTAGCCACATCAGCAGCAGGCTTTCTGCCTTTGACATATATGCTCTGGCTCTGTGACTTTATCACACAGAGCACTCGTAGAGAAGTTATAATAGCAACAGGGGTAGAAGAGCAGAAAAAATAGCATTATTCTGGCCCCTTCCCTGATTCTGTGTGGCTACATATCTTTGGAAGCCGAAACTCTTACAATGTGTCCAACAATGGCAAAAAGAAAATTGTGGGAGCCAAACAGTCTGGGTTGACAATATATTTAAGGTTCAGTTGTACATCCGTCTTCCAGAAAAGAGGGTATGTCAGAGCTTCTGACTAACAACAAGACTTTTCTTTCTGACAACCCATGCATATGCATCTTTTCCATTTTGCTTCATTTATTTTTAAAAGGAAAAGGAAGATAGAAAAGTTTAGAGGAGAATGCTGGCTTCATTTACTTTAAAAGGTTAAGAAAGATATCAAAAAATTAGGATAAAATAAAGGGTGTTTTAGAGGAAATTAATTTTATTATATAAATAGTTCAACAAATTAATTCCATGTTTCTAATCATTTTCCCTGTTAAATGTTAACAGACATTTTTATTTGCAAAAAAATAAACATTTTAAAATTTACAGTTGTGCTACAGTTTATAGCTTTAGTGTATGATTCAGGATATTCCTCAGTTCAGTTCCTATCATTATTTCTCTTCTCCTGGTCTTACTACAGTTTTTCACTTCCATATGTGTTCACTCATTGCCCTCATCCAGCCCACTAGTTTACTTTTTTTTTTCTCCCAGAATAGTGTCTACGATTTTATGGTCAGTTTCAAATCCCTGTGTAATATGATATCCTCCTACATCTATGTTCTCATTTCCTATGACACCCCCACTCATCCTCCCTTTGCTCCTCCTAAACTTCAATGCAGTCCATTGATGCAGTTAGAAAAAAAAATCTCATTCCAAATGAAGCATCCACCCTCACTAATATTGACACATGTTCATGTTTGACCCTTATGCTTAACATTCCTTGAGAAATCCACTTTGGTAGGTATTACTTTACATAGATATCCTCTTTATTTGAAAGAGATCCCTTTCTAAATGTATGTATAAAGAAAAAAAAAATTCTCTTACCATTGTGATTAGATCCCTACCTTATTTTGTTCAAGGTCAGAGATTTTGACTTAAGCAACAGGATATTTTAGGCAAATAGGTATTGTTGTGGCTCTTTAGTAATCAACTGTAAAGCTAAGTTTTCCATTTTTCCCTACACATACTATCTTGGAATCAGCAATATTTCAGTGTCTTCAAATAAACAAGAGCTAGCTTTCCAATACATATCATATCAGGGAACATACATTTAAATGATGGGAAATTAAGGTCAAATTCCAGGAATGCTGATTTTTTAAAACCACAAAATAAGAAGCTCTATAAAAAAGTGCTTTGCGTTTTTTAAAAGAACTTTTTATGTCACATAGAACAACCACATTTATTTTGCTAACATTTAATATACTATATTCATTTTTCCCCCAAATACTTGCAAGTTCAAATTAGCCATTAGGCATTCTAAACAAAATAGAATAGGAATTATTTTATGATTTATGTTATGGAACATTGGAGTGACCAGATTACATTGTAAATGATTTTACCTATTTTTTTTTCATTTATTCTCAATTTACAGTCTGTCGAACAAACTGATAGGTCTCCTTTATATTTTCAGATGTTTCTGAATGTAAATTTGTAATACTCCTTGAATAGAATTACAATTCACTAGTTAGACATATTTTTCCTACTGTGTAATTTTTATCACCCCTGCTATATTTCGTAATTATTTTCAAACAAAATATAAATATGATTTTTTGTTATAACTATTTGACCATTCAAAATAATTTCAAAGACTAAGTAAAAACAATAGCCAGGTAGTCATTGGCCTTTATAATCAGCTTTTTGAAAGCATTATTAGGAAAATAAGTAAATAAATAATTCTTAGCAACTTGAAAGGAATAGAGAACTGTAGAAAAATTATAAATGGTTCTTCCATATTAAACTCAAAAATCAAAAGGCATTAAACACATATGGCCAGCTGAAATTGCATTGAAATGATTAGTGCTTTTAGACCTACTTTTGGCCACTGCTTGTATGATCAGTGATGCCCAGCCAAGCAGAAATTTGGACTTGAAACAGGTCAGCAAAAAGAAACATAATATAATTAGTAGTGACACTTGAGATTTAGCTGTTATTGTGAATGGAATCATGCCTTTTATATCGTTAACTATGAGCTTATAATAAATATAACAGTAACCCACAGAGGTTATCACGGAAAGAGCCAAATTATTTAATGGGAAAGATTTGAAAACTTTGAATCTTGATATTGAATAGTCACTTAACTTCTCTGAACTTTAGTGTTTTTATATATTTGGATGGATTATATAAAATGTTAAGATAAAAAGTCTTTATTACTTAAAAGTCATGGTTATTACTTATCTGAGTCAGTCATTATTTTGGTATTATTTGAATTGATATACAATTATATAGCAAATTTTAAAAGAAATCTGGTGATGGTTACCAGAGGCTAGGAAGAATAGTCGGGAGGTAGATATGAAGAGGGAATGGTTAATGGGAACAAAAAGACAATTAAATAAAAGGAAGAAGATTTAGTGATTGATAGAGCAATAGGAGGACTTTAGTTAACAGTAATTTATTGTGTATTTCAAAACAACTGATAGGGTAGAATTGGAGTGTTCCTAACACACACACAAAAAAAATGATGAATGCCTAAGGTGATAGATATCCCAATTACCCTGATTTATCATTACACATTGTGTACTTGCATCAAAACATCACATTTACCCCACAATGTGTACAACTATTATGTATCCATAATAATTAAAAAGAAAAAAATAAAAAAGAAATATGGTTTCAAATTAGTATTTGATATAATAACAGTATATAGTAAAGTACAAATACGTGTGTGTGTATATATATATGTACAAATAAACCATCTCATAACAGATGCCCATCATTTAATGCCCTTTAATATAAATTTAAAGATAGGAAATCTTATCATACATTGGTTTATTTACCAAAAAAAATTAATTAATTTGGTTTTCAATCAAATTTGGGCCTGGTTTACATTTTGACAATCTAAGGTTTTAAAATGTTGTTATATATTACTGTGAAGACAAATGTCCAATGACTCAAATTCTGACATAAAATTTAAAGAATGAAACTTCTATTTTTATTATAATTATTATAATACAGGTAAGAATATCATCCCATCATACATTATTTAAGTGACCCTGTAAAAAGGAGACAAGATTTGAATATGTGCATTTTTAGGTGTATATGATGGCTCTGAGATGATGACATCTGCAATATTTTAATTTTGCCAAAGCCAAAATGTAGTTTTTCTACTTTTTTTGAGTTTGAATAATAGCAGTAATTTATAGAAATTATTTGAACTCAAAAGCTAATAGCATCTTTGACTTTGCTTGTAGATATTCCATATTCAACATGCTCCTAAGTTTTTCTTAATCAACCCTTTAAAAGGACCTTGGGACTAAATTATTTCAAGTTTAACAAAATATAACCTTTTCTTTTTAAAGTAAGGAATAGTGTCTTTATACATGATCATAAATAAAGATGACTTAAAATATATTTCTTTACCAAGTAGCTTTTGTTTTATTTAGTAATAAAGAATTTCTGGAGTTATGATTATAATATTAGAAGTTACCTTAACTTCTCAGGAGTTACGACTTCACAATGTATCAAATGCCTTTTTCATTTTCTTTTGTACTCCTTTCTTATGACCTGTTAATAGCAAATTAAGTTCTTTCGACTTTCCACTTCCCACTTCCTGCTGCTCATTCTTGCCGTGTAGCTCTGTAGCTAGAACATAGCTCAGATAAATAGCTTACAATTGGAAATGAATGAAACACATGTAATATGTTCTCTTTCAAAATCATATACCTCTTGCTTCTGTGTACTCAAGGACATGTCAATATCACTAGGATGATACAACTTAGAAGAGAATGACATTAAAGCAAAACCATGAGTCAGACAGAGAAGGTACTCAAAGGTAAAATTCATTTTTAAGTCCTTTTCTTCTACCACTTTGGGGCAAACCACCCTTAACCTTGTTCCCTGTAGTGTTATAAAAAATAAAAATAAAAGTAAGGAGGAGAGCAGAAATTAAAATTAAAACAGGGAAACTTTTAGTTAATCTGATAATTAAATGTTTCTTTATTCTTCAAAAATATACATTGTAGTTTTGTGTGTATCTAGATGTTTAAATATTTGTAAACAAAAGAGCATAGGTAAGAGATTATAAATATAACATGTAACATTAAGTCATATGCATATTTATGTTACTTAAAATATATGAGATAAAATATATATAGAATTTATTTATACACTTGTATGTACATATGCATATATGGATGTAATAAGTAGTCCAAAGTAATGTTTTAATGTCTGCATATTTCCATTCAGTTTATTTATTTGCTTGCATAGTTTTTAGAGACTGACTATGATTGTTTGTATTACTCATCGACATTGATAACACATAAGCTTGGGAAATCTTTTTTTTTTTTTTTTTTTTTTAAGAGACGGAGTCTCGCTCTGTCGCCCAGGCTACAGTGCACTGGCGTGATCTTGGCTCACTGCAAGCTCCGCCTCCCGGGTTCACGCCATTCTCCTGCCTCAGCCTCCCAGGTAGCTGGGACTATAAGCACCCACCAACACGCCCAGATAATTTTTTTGTATTTTTAGTAGAGACGGGGTTTCACCGTGTTAGCCAGGGTGGTCTTGATCTCCTGACCTCGTGATCCGCCCTCCTTGGCCTCCCAAAGTGCTGGGATTACAGGCATGAGCCACCGCGCCCGGCCCTACAAGCTTGGGAAATTTTTACCAGTTTTTTAAATTCAATAGTGCCTAGACAGCTAGAAAACATAAATTTGCCCAATTTTTCTTGCCTATCATGCCCCCATCAGTCCATTCTTCAGGTTGGGTCATTCTTCTAAATATGGATCTATATCTAGGTCTAGCTACATAGATAATAAACATATATTACATATATATGCAATGATCTCATATATATATATGAATCATGTGCATTCTTTCTTCAACTTATTTAAACCTCTTGCATTGTTTTAATTTGAACAAATGTAACACAAATTATGTTGGAATCTATGTCATAGGTTATAGTAATTAATTATTTTTACTATTTTCATATTTTTGTATGTGTTAATATTGTCCCCACATGTAAACTTTAAAAGTTCTTAATCACAGAGATTAAAGTATATTTTTTAAAGAATTATAAGCTGCGGCCGGGCGCGGTGGCTCACGCCTGTAATCCCAGCACTTTGGGAGGCCGAGGCGGGCGGATCACGAGGTCAAGAGATCGAGACCATCCCGGCTAAAACGGTGAAACCCCGTCTCTACTAAAAATACAAAAAAATTAGCCGGGCGTAGTGGCGGGCGCCTGTAGTCCCAGCTACTTGGGAGGCTGAGGCAGGAGAATGGCGTGAACCCGGGAGGCGGAGCTTGCAGTGAGCCGAGATCCCGCCACTGCACTCCAGCCTGGGCGACAGAGCGAGACTCCGTCTCAAAAAAAAAAAAAAAAAAAAAAAAAAAAAAGAATTATAAGCTGCAAATTATAAACTGAGTAAGATATTAATCAAAATTGCAACTACTCAAAATAATTTATAATAAAGATTTAGTATGTTTTCTCCAAATGAAAATATAATTTGGAATGATAAATGTCCAATAAATATGAATGGTAATTTTAAGCCTACGGTATAATTTTTTATTTTTTTTTAGGTAGTCTCTTTTTTTCTTGTTATTATTATACTTTAAGTTTTAGGGCACATGTGCACAATGTGCAGGTTTGTTACATATGTATACATGTGCCATGTTGGTGTGCTGCACCCATTAACTCATCATTCAGCATTAGGGATATCTCCTAATGCTATCCCTACCCCCTCCCCCCACCCCACAACAGTCCCCAGAGTGTGATGTTCCCCTTCCGTGTCCATGTGTTCTCATTGTTCAATTCCCATCTATGAGTGAGAACATGCAGTGTTTGGTTTTTTGTCCTTGCGATAGTTTACTGAGAATGATGATTTCCAATTTCATCCATGTCCCTACAAAGGACATGAACTCATCATTTTTTATGGCTGCATAGTATTCCATGGTGTATATGTGCCACATTTTCTTAATCCAGTCTATCATTGTTGGACATTTGGGTTGGTTCCAAGTCTTTGCTATTGTGAATAGTGCCCCAATAAACATACGTGCGCAAGTGTCTTTATAGCAGCATAATTTATAGTCCTTTGGGTATATACCCAGTAATGGGATGGCTGGGTCAAATGGTATTTCTAGTTCTAGATCCCTGAGGAATCGCCACACTGACTTCCACAATGGTTGAACTAGTTTACAGTCCCACCAACAGTGTAAAAGTGTTCCTATTTATCCACATCCTCTCCAGCACCTGTTGTTTCCTGACTTTTTAATGATTGCCATTCTAACTGGTGTGAGATGGTATCTCATTGTGGTTTTGATTTGCATTTCTCTGATGGCCAGTGATGATGAGCATTTTTTCATATGTCTGTTGGCTGCCTAAATGTCTTCTTTTGAGAAGTGTCTGCTCATATCCTTGGCCCACTTTTTGATGGGGTTGTTTGTTTTTTTCTTGTAAATTTGTTTGAGTTCATTGTAGATTCTGGATATTAGCCTTTTGTCAGATGAGTAGGTTGCGAAAATTTTCTCCCATTTTGTAGGTTGCCTGTTCACTCTGATGGTAGTTTCTTTTGCTGTGCAGAAGCTCTTTAGTTTAATTAGATCCCATTTGTCAATTTTGTCTTTTGTTGCCATTGCTTTTGGTGTTTTAGACATGAAGTCCTTGCCCATGCCTATGTCCTGAATGGTAATGCCTAGGTTTTCTTCTAGGGTTTTTATGGTTTTAGGTCGAATGTTTAAGTCTTTAATCCATCTTGAATTAATTTTGCCTACAGTACAATTTTTCACATCAAACATTGTAGTTAAAAAAACAAATTAAATGCCTGATTCATTCTAGATAATGTAATTATAATTGTTTATTTGATGCAAAGATGTCTTGATCTCTAGACAAAAATTTTTTACCAGTGAGAGAAATTATTTATAAATAATTCAAGTATTAATTATAGTGGATTATAAATAATGACCTAAAAGTCAATTCAACTGGTAATACAGAGTACCTCTATGGTGATTAAGCTGATAGCAAAAGAAGTCACTTAGTATCTACGTAACTAAGAACCGCCCTGCCTGTATTTTGCAATCATTAAATATATATCCCTACAGTTCAACACTTAATTTAGACATAAATATTTGAAACAGTCAGGGTTTTCTTTTTCTAAATAAAACAGAGACATACTGTTAAATAGCAGTATGTGTGTATATATATGTGTATATATAACATATATATTACATAATTACATGTATAATAATAAAGCAATGAGTGAAAAGCTATGGAGATTTATGATACTATGACAATTAAACTAGAGTTTCAAATCACTTTGACGTTTCCATTAACTTCCTTGTCCAACCATGATTAATTGCTAAACTATATAGTACCTCCACCATGAGACAGGAGAGCAAGACCACAACCCTCTGAAAACTTTGCTATTTGAAGTAAAGCTAAAGAATGGCAAGTATTTAGAAGATAAATGCAGGATAGTTTTGGAGATCAAATGAGTTACAATGGTTTAGAGGGGTTGCAAACTCAAATGTCTACAGTGCTCATGCAGGTGATATAAAAATATAGAAACATAGTAATAGCTTTTTTAAAAATGCAAAATAATAGGGAGTAATTGAAACATTAAATTCTCCCTTGAAAACCCCTTAGGTTTCATGAAAAGGCCTTCAAATTCAAGATTTCACAACTCTGTGTCAAGTAAATAAAGCATGTCTCTGGGCTAGATTCACTCCATGCACTGTCAGTTTAAGGACTTACATAATGGGATACAGGGACCCTACTTATTGTAATACATATCTTGTATGGTCATTGTAAAAAGTATTTAAAATAGAGAAAAACATTTATAAAATAGAATAAATTCCCAAATTCCATATGTTAAAGACCTAATATTTTAATGCATTTTCTTCAAAGTGTTTCTCCACACATCTTAAATAGTTGTCACAATATTTCATGTTGCTTCCACAATGAAATAGTAGAGTTATTAAACATCTATTTTTAACACCTATCTCATAATCAATTACATAGTTAGGCAATACTTTGCCATTCCCCCCAACTGGCATTAAAATTTTTCAGTATTTTAAATACTGAGTTCACCATGATGAACTTCTTGCTTTGATTTTTTTTCTTTTCTTTTCATAAAGATATATTCACAGTAAAATAATCAAGTTAAATTTTATGGACATTTTTAAGGATCCTCCAAATTCCCAAATTATTCTCTAAAATGTGCATTATCGCTAAGAATTGACAGAATTGTCTCTTTCCCAGAATAACTTTGTCAAAATAACAATTATTTTTGAAGTCTTCACTAATTTGCTAAAAGAAAATCATATAGTTACATCATACCATTATGACAGCGCTTGAATGACAAGGCTTTGCTGAAACAAAGTTTGGTATAAATAAAATGTTAATCCTTTTGGCCTCGTCACTTCCCAGATGGCATCTCTGAAAAAAATCTTGAAATGTAAAGAAACCATATGACTAGATTCCAATTCTTTTTACAGGACATATGCTCCTTTCTGTTGACATATTTACATTTAGGTTGATAAAATTTCCCAGTGATGTCTAATCATGGATTTGACAAACACGTTTATAAAAAGAAGTGGTAAAAAAATAATAGCTTTACTTTCACAATTTGGAACTAAAAACATTGATGCTTTAAGAAATTATAAGATCACAAATAAAAATAATGGTGTTTTGAATATAGAAGACTTAAAATGCACATATGGAGAGATCAAGTCAATTGTTCTATTACTTTACTTTTTGTAGACCATTGATTTGCTTTCTGACTCAGCTTACTTTACCAGGTCTCACTGGGGCAAAATGTTGTAAATTGTTCATGTTCTGGACTTTCTCATTCTAGCCAAGATAGAATTTTCCCTTTCATTGTTATACATCTTGGGAGTTAACAGGCATTCATAGCTGAATAATTATACCATGGCAGGCATATGATATCTGCATAAACTCAAATTAAGCTCCTATTAAAAAGATAATCTACATGAAGTTTGAACACACATGCTTTCTGTTTTCCTTGGTTTCTACCATTAATTTTAATGATGACAAAAAGCAGATGAATTATGGCCCCAATGTTTTTTGGGGGAACCCAGGTAAATTCAGGTCCCTTAAATTTAAGAGGGCAAATCCTATTTAATCCAACTCTAAGGGCTCTGTGCATGTACATATTGTTATTAGAATGGGAATGGGTAACATGATACTAACTTTTCACAAACTTAGAAACAAAGTGACTTTATATATTTTTGCAAATGAAGTAGAAAATACGTTAATTCATTCTATTTACCTTTACTATGTTAATAGTGTAACATGAAGACCATGTTAAATACACCATTATCTGTCATGGTAAATTCAGTTCAGGTGAATTCGGGATCTAATATATGCTTGAACTACAGGAACTCCAAAGGCATATTAAGAGACAGTATATATGGTATAACAGCTCTTTATGTCTGAAGTGTATCAATAAAGTAGCATAGTTGAGTAAATCAAGTACAAAAAAATCAGGTTTTTATGATCTCTCCACTAACTACTGTTTCTGGAAATAGGTTATGTGGTTTTTCTACAAACCAGCTGTGTGAAATTAATCATTACTTTACTTGGTTTCTGTCTCTTTGCTACTTTATCTACAAAAGTGGAACAATCACACCATGTATTTCAAGGGGCATTATGAGGATAAAAAAGTAAATACCTACAAAGCACTTAAAAGATTGTTCTTGGCTAATAGCTGCTTAACAGTTATTAGCAATAATTATCCTAGAAAATGAATTATTCATATGCTATCTATCATAACAAAGATATACCATAAGTGTCCCATAAGTGTATCTGTGGTAATAAATTATAATTAACTAAATTTCTATAGGTTTTGCATATGCTTCCTTATGTTAATACACATTTTTATTTCATTTAATCCTGGAATCGGTAGAGGATTTCCATTACATAGATAAGAATATTGACACTTCAAAGATATTTTTAAAACTTGTTTTAGAATATGCAATCAATAATTTTACAATGAGGCACAGAATCTGGATTTCATAATTGATAAACCATAATATTTTTACTACATGCACCTTAAAGGTTAAGTAATGGGGAAATTCTTAGTCACAGAAAAGCCATATAATGCCTGGAGACCAATATCAAAGGTAAGATTTCTGCTACAATAGAGAAGTGCTTGAATGGATACAATAGAAGTCAAAGTCAATGGCCAGGCACAGTGGCTCCTTTCTGTAATCCCAGCACTTTGAGAGACCGAGGTGGGCAGATCACTTGAGGCCAGGAGTTCGAGATCAGCCTGGCCAATATGGTAAAACACCTTCTCTACTGAAACTACAAAAATTAGTGGGGCAGTGGCACATGCCTGTAATCCCAGCTACTTGGGAGGCTGAGGCAGCAGAATCACTTGAATCTAGGAGGCAAAGTTTGCAGTGAGCCAAGACTGCACCATTGCACTCCAGTCTTGGTGACAGAGCTAGACTCTGTCTCAAAAAAAAAAAAAAAAAAGACCAGGTGCAGTGGCTTATGCCTGTAATCCCAGCACTTTGGGAGGCCGAGGCGGGTGGATCACCTGAGGTCAGGAGTTCAAGACCAGCCTGGCCGTCTCTACTAAAAACACAAAAAATCAGCCTGGCATGGTGGCAGGTGCCTGTAATCCCAGCTACTCGGGAGGCTGAGGCAGGAGAATCACTTGAACCCAGGAGGTGGAGGTTACAGTGAGCCGAGATCACACCATTGCACTCCAGCCTGGGCAACAGCAAAACTCTGTCTCAAAAAAAAAAAAAAAAAGTTGAAGTCAATGAGGGCAGAGGCAAAGCATTTCTACTTAGATTCAGTCTGTAGATAAACTTTCTGGGAATGTTGTCTAGCTCAATAATAAATATTATCTTTCCTTCTATTTTAGATTCTAGTAGAGATTCTCTAGAAACAGAGGTTTTAATCAGTAAAAAAAATTCTAGCCTAGATATAACTAAAGATCAATCATAGAGATTATACATGAATATTAAACTGGATTATATTTATATAACTGGAATAATTTTACCATTAAATAGGTAAAATGCATTTTTATCAAAACAATTATTAAACAATTATAGTTGCTTTGTAGTTGTAGTTGCTGAGATTTTTTTCCTAAAGTGTAGAATTTTTGAAAAAATAGTGGTTGTTATTTGAGTAAGCATAATAACAATAATTAGTGATTCAAAATATTTTAGTTAACAACTATATTTTAGATTTAAAACTAAATATTATAATTATTATACATCTAAAGCTACTCAAAACTATTAATTTATATAAAGAAGTTAATATACTCAGACCTAAATTTCCTTATAGGTACACATCTTCCTTAAACTTTTATCTTTCACCGAGGTTCTTCTTTCAATTAATTGTAGTACCTTATTTGCAGGAATTTATTGTTTGCTTTATTGAAGGGAAAGGTGAAATTCTAATGGAATATGGCTGTAAATCATAGTTAAATCTAAGGTAGGGTTAATACATTATAAACAAGGCAGAAAATTATACTTTCTTTATTCATGTGAGTTTATATTTTAAATTCCTCAGCACTTAGTGACAGAGATCAGGGTTACATTTCTTTGCATCTTCCCACAATGTATATTGTTAAATAACTACTTCTGACAGGCTAATTTTATGAAGCTTATAATTAGTAATTGCTTTCATATTCTTTTGAAGATCCAAGGACTCTTAATAGCTTGCAATTTTGAAATAACTGTGGAAAGTAAGGAAATTTCATACAGGCCAGGAAACCAAGTTTAAGCAGTTTGATTAGCAGAAGAATGAGGGCTGAGGTTCAATAATTTAATTTATAAAAATAAGTGAATTCCATATAATAGTATGTAGACAGTGCAAAGGAAAAGAGATTTTAAAAATCAGGATAATCTCTGTATTTATTTAGAAGGATGGAGACAAAGAATAAAAGCAGATGTAAATGTAGATGTTCAGAGTGATACGACCTTAAAATTACACTGTGTTAGAAATGGAAAGACCTTTGCCTTACCATGACTACATAAAGTCTATAAATTTTTAAGATTGCTGATAAAACATATGTATGATTTGCTTCATTTTTTTAGCTTTTTTTTTTTTTTTTTAGCTTTTTTTAAGCCATAGCTTTGTTGGAACATCAAAGAGGATTCTGATGCAACAGATGTTGAGAAACATGAGTTAAAGAAGCTAAGTGACTTGACCAAGTTGCAGCATACAACACTTAAAATTCCTGTAAACGGCCATAATGCATGAAAAGACCTAATTCTTCCCTTCCCAAGCTATGGCAAATCGTTCTTTGCCTGCTGCCAGGCTTGTGTGTCTCTAAATCATCCCTGTCAGATTCATCATCATATTGCACCTCTTTGATGCTATTGTTCTGCAACTAAAATTATCACTGTGTCACTGGCACCTTCTGAATACAGACTAAATTGCTTATTTTGGCATAGAAAACTCTCCACAGTTTGGCCCCCACATTTATTTTCCAGCTTCATCTTTTAATATATGTATGTATTCCTCATTGTCCAAACTCAACTTTATGTTATTCTTCAAGTATGAATCATATTTATTTTCTTTGGAAATTTTGCTGGTGCTATTTTCTCTAGATAGAATAATCTGTCTCCCTGCTTTCCTCTGCCCTCTCTCTGTGGATTCTACTGGCCTCCTACACTCACATCCAGTCCACACAGACACACACACCCACACCCATACACACACGTCTTTCTACAAAATATATTTTGAAGGACTCAATCAAATAAAGCTATTATTTATATACTAAAACAGAACATTCACTGTACTCACACTGAACTCTGATGGTTTCCAGTTTCTAGTATTTTAGTGTGTTATGAATACTCTAAAATAAAATAGTTTTAGTGTATTATAAGTACACTAAAATAAAATTGTTTCTACTACTTTAGTGTGTTTAGTGTAAATAATATTATGTTTGTGAATCTTGCATTTTTATATAGTGGTTAAAACCATGTTTTTGGAAAAAGATGTTATCGAATTCTTATTCCCTCCATTATTAGCTTTGTGATTTGATGTTATAGGCAAAATGTCTCAATTTTCTCGTCTGCAAAGCAGGTATTATAATAATAGTAGGGTTGTCATGAAGATTAAGTGAAATAATATATACATGAAGTTTTAAGGCAATGTTAACACTTAAATGTTAAATGAAAATAGCTAACAAATAATTTATAAACTCTGTAATAGTGTCTGTAATGTATTATTGTTATATAATTTTTGTTGTACTTCGTGGTATACTCCTTGAGATTCACAACTAGATCTTTCACCTCCGTATTCCAAATACCTATATAAACCTTACATAGTAACAGCTTAATATGTATCTACTGAATCATTAATATTTATATTAGTGCTTCAAAGACTTACATAAATTAGCAAAGTCTCAAAAATAAATACAAGGTGAACATATCAAAAATAAATTATATATTTCTGTAAACAGAAAATTATATTTCACAAACCCAAGCAGCTTCTCCAGTTTCCTCCTCCGCTTGCCTACATCCCAGAGCTGCCTGCAGTAATTCCTATTGAGCAAAAACAGTCAGGAAAAAAACAACTGGAATGATGGGATACACAGGAGAGACATTACATTAATCAGAAATAAGTTTATGTTCCACAAAGAAATAAGTTGATAATTTTGCCTATCAGTGAGGCTGACCCTTTTCAGAGGGGTAATATTTATTGATAAGCTTAATATAAAAATCAGGTGAAGAATTACAAGGCCCAGTAAAAATTAAGGAGGAACAAGATTATAAAGATAAAGGGACTTTGAACTATAGGTTTTATTTTTTAATCTTTTATAACAAGAGTAGACTAATATTTGAAGTCTGTAAGCATCAATAATATATTAATAATAACACACATACCACCAAGACGTTAAAGAGTATCATGTTTCCCAAAACTCACTTTAAAACTTGGTAATATTTGAATTTTGTAGGCTAACATCTCCTACACAATTGTGTTCACATCTGTGTCAGATCCTTAACTTATTAGCTCCTGAAGGCGAAATTATTAGTTCCTGGGATGTGTCTTTGCTACTCCCTGTATGTAGTTTTTCCACAGTCTCTTCCAACCAGTTACTAATTTTTTCACTCATTCATTGATTCTTTTATGAGCTTTAACTCAGTGCAAAGCTCTATATTTATATTTGAAAGAAATGTACTTAGATTTGTCCCTCACCTTTAAAAAAATCTAATAAAAAAAGGAATACATGCATCACCGAATATCAAGTTTGAAGTTTAAAGAAAATAACAGAAGAAAGGTATGGATAGATTGCTATGCAAGTTCCAGAGAGAAAACATTTTTCTCTGCTGGGGAAAATAAATGGACATTTAATGTACTGTGCATCATGGCCTAATCTTTACATAATAGGTAAAATTTGTACCTGCTTAGATTAGGGAAAAGTGACTCCAAATACATGAAGAATGACATACAGGAAAAATAGAGTGAGTATTTTTTCATCTGTCCTGCCATTAAACACCACTTCGCATAACTCCTGGCCTAAAAAAGAATTAACCCAAAAACTAAACTAATGTTTTCAGTGTGATCCCTCCTTCTAGATCTCATGGACTTTTTCTAGTATGATTGTGATCTCATGTCAAAATTTCTCTTCCTGGAGGTCCTCTGACTGCTGACTCTATATTGTGTGCTGTTAAGGGCATAGGATTCAGAATTTGGACACGTGTTGTTCAATGGAAATATTCTATATTTGCCTTTATCCATTATGGAAGCCACTAGCCATATGTGACTATTGACATCTTGAAATGTGACTCATGAAGCTGACGAATGGAATTTTTCCCTTTGATTAGTTTAAATTAAATAACCACATGCAATGTGTGACTGTAGTATTGCACAGTGTATATCTAAAGTCGCCTTTTAAGGAAAAGTAAATTATGGATAAATTTGATCTGCAGAAGGATCTCTTTTGGTCAAAGTGCAATATGTCACAATATTTCCTTTGAGATCTTATTACACTCTTTATTTGCTGAAGCCAGTAGTTTCACCCTGTATAGTTATTGCCTGTATACTATTGTTAATTCAAGTATGTGCAAAGGAAGACTAACTAATTATATCAGCAGGAATCTCTGAAGACTTCCAGGAAGTGACTTTTGAATTTAATCTCAAAGGAAAAGAAGGTCACCCTCAGGCTGGGGGCTGAGGATGAGTGAGGGCAGAAGGAAGGGGTCTCAGGCAGAGATGAGAAAAGGATGGCATGACCAGGGGAATATTCAATAATTTAGTATAACTGGCATACAAAGTGTCTTTTGTGAGAAACAGAAAGGCAGAAAATGCCATTTGAAAAAAATATATGATAACATACATTCTTTCAATACCGTCCAACTATTAGTTTTCACATAATTTTATGCAATTTCCCACCTAAAATATTCATCCTATCACATATATAAAGGTTTCCTTTCTTTTCTTTTTCTTTTACAAACATCATTTACGTTTTAATCATTAAACACAACAACTAAAATTACAACTTTGTTACCTAAATTTATGACTTGGACAACATTGAGATTTAGGAAATTTATTGCCATGAAGTCACCAATGGTTTATAATTTATAAGACTTTGGATTAGACATTAGCACAGTTATTATTTCCTCTAATGCCTTACCTCACCACAGTCTAATAACATTCAGGAAATCCAAAAGACAAAGGGGAGAGAGTGGTCTTGAAAGCTAAAAACAGTCGTTGAAAACTGATGCAATCATGTAATAAAATATAGCACAATAACTTATATGATATGCTCATAGCATCTGCTAAAGCAATTAGAATCAGTATAGCTAAAGTTTTATTCATGTATTTCTACAGTGAAAACTCTTTCAGCCCATGTAAGACATTTAAGTTATGCAGTTTAATTGTGTACATTGGTCTTAGGATTTTCAGTCTTATTACTTGCATATGCGATCTATTTCACACTCTTCCAAAACAGAAATCCACTGGGTAGCAATCAGATTTTGAAAGTCCTTCCAAGTAAAGCCAGATAGTGGTCTATGTGATATTTTTCATATGATAACATAGGGTGTTAATACGCAATTATATTAACACTGTTCGTTCATGATAATTCAATACCTTCACACATCTAAATTAAGGTCTTGCTCATTAGATAACAGAAACAGCAATATTAGTGTCTATTCATATAAATGACTTTAAATTTATCAGATATATTAAAGAGGACGCTGTTTTATTTGATGATTTTCACACGCATTCTATGTAATGTTGTAACTTTTAGAGATTCTCAACAAAATATTTTAATGAATCGGCAGTTATATTCCTTTTGAAAGAATGTCTCATATTAGAAAAATAATGTACTTTTTCTAATTTAAATTATTTTTTCATGAAACCTTTTCAATTATCTTCTCATCTACCTATAAGAAAGAATTTTCAATGCATTGTGAAAGGTCAAAATATTTACAGATATTTCAAACATGCCTTATAATTTTGCCTGATAAAAATATAGGCTGGCATTTCTACTGTGACATAAGATATTTTGATCATAGTAGAACAGAATAAGTTTACTGTAACAACTATAAACAATGGTTAAGGGAAATTAATAAATCTGTTTCAAGGGCATACTAAGTATTTTGTAGACATTATAACAAGAATTATTTACTTCAACTATGAGATTTTCTTATCTGCTTATTACAGGAGTCTGAATTTCAGAAGGGTGTAGGAACTTGCCTGAGGCACAGAGCCAATAAAAGGCACAGCCAGAGATAACACCCAGTTCTGCCCGATTTCAACATCCTTAAAGCCCATTATTACATGTAATGGGCATGAATTTTACACTACAAACATGTGTAAGAAGTGTCATTTTATCTCTCTATCCAAAAATCAAATTATATTTATTTCAGATCCTCATCTCACTAGACTGGAAAGGAAATTCAATTTATTCTCTATGGAATTGTGTAAGAATATAGAAGATTTACATGGTAGATTCCCAGAAATTTGGGTAGGAATTACATTAAAAGGAAACATATTATGTATCGGTAAAAGAGGTGACTAACTTAGTATTTATTTACGGGGTTGAACAAAAAGGAGGAAAGGAAAGGGATGCCAGCTTTCAACACATTACCTGACACCATGACGAAGGATAGTTTTTCATCTTCTCTTGAACCATAACTGACATGCTTAACCTCTCTTCCTATGAGTTCTAATCCTTTACCTTGTAAATCAAATACTGCATGAAATTGGAAGCACTTCTCATCTACCTTGGCACTGTCTGATTAACTTGGACATATGATCCCAGACATAAAGTATCTTATGCTTTGAGGAGATAGCACGTCTGTCTGTGTCAGTAGTGTAAAATGTCTTATTGAGTACAAGAAAATATAATATTCATAACAATAATTTCTACCACACTACCACTTCGTTCTGCTGCTTCTTTTAGTCTGTAATATATAGTCGCATATACATATTTTAATATTTTGTATGAATTGTGACAATAGAGTATAGGTCTTTTATGTTTCCTTTTCACTATTTCCTAATTTTTCTTTTGTTTTTTCCAGTTTTTTTTTTTTTTTAATTATACTTTAAGTTTTAGGGTACATGTGCACAATGTGCAGGTTAGTTACATATGTATACATGTGCCATGCTGGTGTGCTGCACCCACTAACTCGTCATCTAGCATTAGGTATATCTCCCAATGCTATCCCTCCCCCCTCACCCCACCCCACAACAGTCCCCAGAGTGTGATATTCCCCTTCCTGTGTACATGTGATCTCATTGTTCAATTCCCACCTATGAGTGAGAATATGCGGTGTTTGGTTTTTTGTTCTTGCGATAGTTTACTGAGAATGATGTTTTCCAATTTCATCCATGTCCCTACAAAGGACATGAACTCATCATTTGTTATGGCTGCATAGTATTCCATGGTGTATATGTGCCACATTTTCTTAATCCAGTCTATCATTGTTGGACATTTGGGTTGGTTCCAAGTCTTTGCTATTGTGAATAATGCCGCAATAAACATACGTGTGCATGTGTCTTTATAGCAGCATGATTTATAGTCCTTTGGGTATATACCCAGTAATGGGATGGCTGGGTCAAATGGTATTTCCAGTTCTAGATCCCTGAGGAATAGCCACACTGACTTCCACAATGGTTGAACTAGTTTACAGTCCCACCAACAGTGTAAAAGTGTTCCTATTTCTCCACATCCTCTCCAGCACCTGTTGTTTCCTGACTTTTTAATGATTGCCATTCTAACTGGTGTGAGATGGTATCTTATTGTGGTTTTGATTTGCATTTCTCTGATGACCAGTGATGATGAGCATTTTTTCATGTGTTTTTTGGCTGCATAAATGTCTTCTTTTGAGAAGTGTCTGTTCATGTCCTTCGCCAACTTTTTGATGGGGTTGTTTGTTTTTTTCTTGTAAATTTGTTTGAGTTCAATGTAGATTCTGGATATTAGCCCTTTGTCAGATGAGTAGGTTGCGAAAATTTTCTCCCATTTTGTAGGTTGCCTGTTCACTCTGATGGTAGTTTCTTTTGCTGTGCAGAAGCTCTTTAGTTTAATTAGATCCCATTTGTCAATTTTGGCTTTTGTTGCCATGGCTTTTGGTGTTTTAGACATGAAGTCCTTGCCCATGCTTATGTCCTGAATGGTAATGCCTAGGTTTTCTTCTAGGGTTTTTATGGTTTTAGGTCAAACGTTTAAGTCTTTAATCCATCTTGAATTGATTT
The DNA here is from genome assembly GCF_000001405.40 of Homo sapiens. NCBI lineage: Eukaryota > Metazoa > Chordata > Mammalia > Primates > Hominidae > Homo > Homo sapiens. The sequence continues at coordinate 84,067,262 of NC_000007.14, read as the reverse complement.
TTGTATAAGGTGTAAGGAAGGGATCCAGTTTCAGCTTTCTACATATGGCTAGCCAGTTTTCCCAGCACCATTTATTAAATAAGGAATCCTTTCCCGATTGCTTGTTTTTCTCAGGTTTGTCAAAGAACAGATACTTGTAGATATGCAGCGTTATTTCTGAGGGCTCTGTTCTCTTCCGTTGATCTATATCTCTGTTTTGGTAGCAGTACCATGCTGTTTTGGTTACTGTAGCCTTGTAGTATAGTTTGAAGTCAGGTAGTGTGATGCCTCCAGCTTTGTTCTTTTGGCTTAGGATTGACTTGGCGATGCAGGCTCTTTTTTGGTTCCATATGAACTTTAAAGCAGTTTTTTCCAATTCTGTGAAGAAAGGCATTGGTAGCTTGACGGGGATGGCATTCAATCTGTAAATTACCTTGGGCAGTATGGCCATTTTCACGATATTGATTCTTCCTACCCATGAGCATGGAATGTTCTTCGATTTGTTTGTATCCTCTTTTATTTCATTGAGCAGTGGTTTGTAGTTCTCCTTGAAGAGGTCCTTCACATCCTTTGTAAGTTGGATTCCTAGGTATTTTATTCTCTTTGAAGCAATTGTGAATGGGAGTTCACTCATGATTTGGCTCTCTGTTTGTCTGTTGATGATGTATAAGAATGCTTGTGATTTTTGTACATTGATTTTGTATCCTGAGACTTTGCTGAAGTTGCTTATCAGCTTAAGGAGATTTTGGGCTGAGACAATGGGGTTTTCTAGATATACGATCATGTCGTCTGCAAACAGGGACAATTTGACTTCCTCTTTTCCTAATTGAATACCCTTTATTTCCTTCTCCTGCCTAACTGCCCTGGCCAGAACTTCGAACACTATGTTGAATAGGAGTGGTGAGAGAGGGCATCCCTGTATTGTGCCAGTCTTCAAAGGGAATGCTTCCAGGTTTTGCCCATTCAGTATGATATTGGATGTGGGTTTGTCATAGATAGCTCTTATTATTTTGAAATACGTCCCATCAATACCTAATTTATTGAGAGTTTTTAGCATGAAGTGTTGTTGAATTTTGTCAAAGGCTTTTTCTGCATCTATTGCGATAATCATGTGGTTTTTGTCTTTGGCTCTGTTTATATGCTGGATTACATTTATTGATTCGCGTATATTAAACCAGCCTTGCATCCCAGGGATGAAGCCCACTTGATCATGGCGGATAAGCTTTTTGATGTGCTGCTGGATTCGGTTTGCCAGTATTTTATTGAGGATTTTTGCATCAATGTTCATCAAGGATATTGGTCTAAAATTCTCTTTTTTTGTTGTGTCTCTGCCTGGCTTTGGTATCAGAATGATGCTGGCCTCATAAAATGAGTTAGGGAGGATTCCCTCTTTTTCTATTGATTGGAATAGTTTCAGAAGGAATGCTACCAGTTCCTCCTCGTACCTCTGGTAGAATTCAGCTGTGAATCCATCTGGTCCTGGACTCTTTTTGGTTGGTAAGCTATTGATTATTGTCACAATTTCAGACCCTGTTATTGGTCTACTCAGAGATTCAACTTCTTCCTGGTTTAGTCTTGGGAGAGTGTATACGTCGAGGAATTTATCCATTGCTTCTAGATTTTCTAGTTTATTTGCGTAGAGGTGTTTGTAGTATTCTCTGATGGTAGTTTGTATTTCTGTGGGATCAGTGGTGATATCCCCTTTATCATTTCTTATTGCGTCTATTTGATTCTTCTCTCTTTTTTTCTTTATTAGTCTTGCTAGCGGTCTATCAATTTTGTTGATCCTTTCAAAAAACCAGCTCCTGGATTCATTAATTTTTGGAAGGGTTTTTTGTGTCTCTACTTCCTTCAGTTCTGCTCTGATTTTAGTTATTTCTTGCCTTCTGCTAGCTTTTGAATGTGTTTGCTCTTGCTTTTCTAGTTCTTTTAATTGTGATGTTAGGGTGTCAATTTTGGATCTTTCCTGCTTTCTCTTGTGGGCATTTAGTGCTATAAATTTCCCTCTACACACTGCTTTGAATGCGTCCCAGAGATTCTGGTATGTTGTGTCTTTGTTCTCGTTGGTTTCAAAGAACATCTTTATTTCTGCCTTCATTTCGTTATGTACCCAGTAGTCATTCAGGAGCAGGTTGTTCAGTTTCCATGTAGTTGAGCGGTTTTGAGTGAGATTCTTAATCCTGAGTTCTAGTTTGATTGCACTGTGGTCTGAGAGATAGTTTGTTATAATTTCTGTTCTTTTACATTTGCTGAGGAGAGCTTCACTTCCAAGTATGTGGTCAATTTTGGAATAGGTGTGGTGTGGTGCCGAAAAAATGTATATTCTGTTGATTTGGGGTGGAGAGTTCTGTAGATGTCTATTAGGTCCGCTTGGCGCAGAGCTGAGTTCAATTCCTGGGTATCCTTGTTGACTTTCTGTCTCGTTGATCTGTCTAATGTTGACAGTGGGGTGTTGAAGTCTCCCATTATTAATGTGTGGGAGTCTAAGTCTCTTTGTAGGTCACTCAGGACTTGCTTTATGAATCTGGGTGCTCCTGTATTGGGTGCATATATATTTAGGATAGTTAGCTCTTCTTGTTGAATTGATCCCTTTACCATTATGTAATGGCCTTCTTTGTCTCTTTTGATCTTTGTTGGTTTAAAGTCTGTTTTATCAGAGACTAGGATGGCAACCCCTGCCTTTTTTTGTTTTCCATTTGCTTGGTAGATCTTCCTCCATCCTTTTATTTTGAGCCTATGTGTGTCTCTGCACGTGAGATGGGTTTCCTGAGTACAGCACACTGATGGCTCTTGACTCTTTATCCAATTTGCCAGTCTGTGTCTTTTAATTGGAGCATTTAGTCCATTTACATTTAAAGTTAATATTGTTATGTGTGAATTTGATCCTGTCATTATGATGTTACCTGGTTATTTTGCTCGTTAGTTGATGCAGTTTATTCCTAGTCTTGATGGTGTTTACATTTTGGCATGATTTTGCAGTGGCTGGTACCAGTTGTTCCTTTCCATGTTTAGTGCTTCCTTCAGGAGCTCTTTTAGGGCAGGCCTGGTGGTGACAAAATCTCTCAGCATTTGCTTGTCTGTAAAGTATTTTATTTCTCCTTCGCTTATGAAGCTTAGTTTGGATGGATATGAAATTCTGGGTTGAAAATTCTTTTCTTTAAGAATGTTGAATATTGGCCCCCCCTCTCTTCTGGCTTGTAGGGTTTCTGCTGAGCGATCAGCTGTTAGTCTGATGGGCTTCCCTTTGTGGGTAACCCGACCTTTCTCTCTGGCTGCCCTTAACATTTTTTCCTTCATTTCAACTTTGGTGAATCTGACAATTATGTGTCTTGGAGTTGCTCTTCTCGAGGAGTATCTTTGTGGCGTTCTCTGTATTTCCTGAATCTCAATGTTGGCTTGCCTTGCTAGATTGGGGAAGTTCTCCTGGATAATATCCTGCAGAGTGTTTTCCAACTTGGTTCCATTCTCCCCATCACTTTCAGGTACACCAATCAGACGTAGATTTGGTCTTTTCACATAGTCCCATATTTCTTGGAGGCTTTGCTCATTTCTTTTTATTCTTTTTTCTCTAAACTTCCCTTCTCGCTTTATTTCATTCATTTCATCTTCCATCGCTGATACCCTTTCTTCCAGTTGATCGCATCGTCTCCTGAGGCTTCTGCATTCTTCATGTAGTTCTCGAGCCTTGGTTTTCAGCTCCATCAGCTCCTTTAAGCACTTCTCTGTATTGGTTATTCTAGTTATACATTCTTCTAAATTTTTTTCAAAGTTTTCAACTTCTTTGCCTTTGGTTTGAATGTCCTTCCGTAGCTCAGAGTAATTTGATCGTCTGAAGCCTTCTTCTCTCAGCTCGTCAAAGTCATTCTCCATCCAGCTTTGTTCCGTTGCTGGTGAGGAACTGCGTTCCTTTGGAGGAGGAGAGGCGCTCTGCTTTTTAGAGTTTCCAGTTTTTCTGTTCTGTTTTTTCCCCATCTTTGTGGTTTTATCTACTTTTGGTCCTCAATGATGGTGATGTACAGATGGGTTTTTGGTGTGGATGTCCTTTCTGTTTGTTAGTTTTCCTTCTAACAGACAGGACCCTCAGCTGCAGGTCTGTTGGAATACCCTGCCATGTGAGGTGTCAGTGTGCCCCTGCTTGGGGGTGCCTCACAGTTAGGTTGCTTAGGGGTCAGGGGTCAGGGACCCACTTGAGGAGGCAGTCTGCCCGTTCTCAGATCTCCAGCGGCGTGCTGGGAGAACCACTGCTCTCTTCAAAGCTGTCAGACAGGGCCATTTAAGTCTGCAGAGGTTACTGCTGTCTTTTTGTTTGTCTGTGCCCTGCCCCCAGAGGTGGAGCCTACAGAGGCAGGCAGGCCTCCTTGAGCTGTGGTGGGCTCCACCCAGTTGGAGCTTCCAGGCTGCTTTGTTTACCTAATCAAGTTTGGCAATGGCGGACGCCCCTCCCCCCGCCTCGCTGCGGCCTTGTAGTTTGATCTCAGACTGCTGTGCTAGCAATCAGCGAGACTCCGTGGGTGTAGGACCCTCCAAGCCAGGTGCGGGATATAATCTCGTGATGCGCCGTTTTTTAAGCCCGCCGGAAAAGCGCAGTATTCGGGTGGGAGTGACCGGATTTTCCAGGTGCCGTCTGTCACCCCTTTCTTTGACTCAGAAAGGGAACTCCCTGACCCCTTGCGCTTCCCAAGTGAGGCAATGCCTCGCCCTGCTTCGGCTCGCGCGTGGTGCGCGCACCCACTGACCTATGCCCACTGTCTCGCACTCCGTAGTGAGGTGAACCCGGTACCTGAGATGGAAATGCAGAAATCACCATCTTCTGCGTCGCTCACTCTGGGAGCCGTAGACCGGAGCTGTTCCTATTCGGCCATCTTGGCTCCTCCTATTTCCTAATTTTTCATCAAAATACACATATATCTGGGTATTTCTTTAATGATTCTTCTAAGTTTTTGAATAGAATATGTCTTTTCATATAATTTTAATATTTAAATGCCTATGATAAATTCGTATTTGTGAAAAAGTTTGTAATTTAGTGATGTATATAAACATCTCAATGTAATATTTCTTTGACACTATGTTAGGAAAGTTGAAAATAATGGCAACAACCTGTGTTAATTTCCATATTATTTTGCTATACTGGTAATACTAACATAATTAATAGAATATAAATAGCATTTTTAAAATTTTGCTGCTTTTAAAATGTTTTAAATAAATTATTTAACCCTCCAAATTAACTTGTGAGGTTAAATATCCTTACATGTGCTGACATTTTAGGACCAGAGGCTCAGAGATATGAAACAGTGACCAGAGAACCAGAGCTAAGCCTGGTGCCTGGCTCATTGCGTTTTCCACTATAACTTAGTACAATTCTGTGAAAGCCCATAAATTATTTCACAGTATAGATTTTAGAACTAACCTAAAGAAATATCATTGGTACAGGACAGCTAATTGCCAAATACAGAATAAATGCAAAGAAAGAAGATTAGAATTGGTAATTCTCATTCACAGTAGTAAAAACAGAACACTTGGAATTTCTTCCTTTTTTTTAACTTTCGTCCCTAATTCAAATGAGTTTTAAGAGTAATAATTTGAAACCCTGCCATTAGTTCCATCAGAAATATTAAATGTTAAACAAAATGATCCCTACTGATCATAAAATGGACACCATTTAATATACCAAGATGGTAGAAAATACTTTTATGTGAATAGTAGAGAAATTGCCAAAAAATAAAAAGCTATTTTATTTCAGTCTGTGGACAACTTAATGTACTACTGGAAAAAGCATACATATTCTTATCTAATTAATTCCCAGGGCACTTGGTTCTTAAAAGAATGCTCAGAAATGTCCCCAGATTTACTCCACTGTCACATATAGAGTGCAGTAGGTAGACACATTCTGACAACAGGGTCTCAAGCGTGAATTAGTTATCTCCTTATCAAGATTTTTGATGTCATGCTTTCCTGCACATATTCTACCTTGAGACATGTGTATATTTTTTATAGGTAGTCAAAAGTTCATTCCTGTTTCTGAGTACTTAGGGACCCAACAGAGCAGGCTTTCCCGTGGTAATAATGTGCTTGTTATTCCATTGACACCACCTCCAGGCACACTGCTCTCCTAACCTGGGATATTTCCCTCTTAGAGAAGTGAATGAGGCATTTCAGGCACTTCACCTGCTGCTGTAACTTAAAAATACACAAGAAGCACGTAGCCACCAAAGATGTGCAAAGGACATAGTGGGGAAAATAAATTTGATGGCTATTTAACATGTCTTCTGGAAAGTACATACTGACAAGATTGTGTAATTTATTCTAGACAACTAACGTAGTGAATTGCTATTTTTCTTTTCTACAAAGGAAGGAAATGAGTCATTTTATTTAAGTTTAACATTCTTTCCTCAAAAGCCATTATGATAGATTATAACATACCTGTGTGATAAAATAATCACTCTCCTCTTACCATGACACATCCTGTTCTTTATAGTTTATTTACACATTATTGTTTGCAACGTGCTAACTGCTACTAAATATCATTAAGCTAAGTAGATATTTGGCTAGTATTACCTATTTTCAATACACTTGATTTATTTTGCCATCTCAAAAATTTGAACAAATAAAAATAACTCTTGTGTTGGACATGAATACTTGACATCTCTCTGATTAACTGATGTGTTGAAAACACTCATTTTTATATATAAAGGAAACCCTTTTCTCTTTCTTTTTTAAATCCACAGGACAATATTTTTAAGCTGGAGAACTCACATTTTGAAAACGGCCGTGGGAAGAGTCCATATGACCCTAAGCTGCTGACAGCATCCCTTTTAATAGGTGCGTAGTCAACAATCAATTAAATAGTGAGTTTTCTATAAATAACAAACAGGTTGTATGTTCTTTTTTATCTACCAAGATTTTCCATTATGAAATAATAATTGTTTTAGAAGGACATTAGTTGTGATATATTCAAATGTTTGAAAATGAAGAAGAAACACTAAATGCTATTTTGCTTATTGCACCAACTAGTCTGATTCTTTTTAATGGAAATGGAATAGGATCTTAAAATGGCCTCTCAATTACTATGCAGCCCCACTTGGTACAGTTGGCAGAGACCCATTGTGTTACCTTGTGCTGGCTCATCCTAATATACATATTACATATACAGGCTAAGGGAAGTTACATTCTGTATTCACCTTTTATGAAATTAGCTCTTCTTTTTTGGAAAATCTAACAAAATATTTGATGTGACGTCCTCTACCTTTTTCTGTAACCATCATCTTTTCTAGCTTTCTCCTCTTTTCATTTAGCATTGCTGATAAGTGGGGAATGCTTATAGTTCAAAATAATAGAAGTAGATACAAATAAGATAAAACTTTAGTCTGTATTGAAAAATAAAGAATTTTTTCCAGACTCTTAACTACCTCCGGACTGGAGTTAACTAAATACACAAACAAAAAGTGGCAAATCATGAAGCAATTTTTAAATTTTTTATTTTCTCTTTATTTTATCATTTTTTCCTTTCTTTTTTATTTTTTAAATTTTGAGCATACCAACAACCTAAAACATAAAAAAATTCTGGGTCATGATTCTGTTCTTGAACATATTTTTCTACATAATTGTGTAGAAATTATGTACCTTTTTGTTTTCCTTTTCTATACAATATGCAAAAGAATTATTTAATAGCACAACAAAATGAAACTTTTCAAATCTAAAATTTCTAATTAAATTTTAAATAATAAATCTTGATTAAAAAATTAAATTTAGGTTATCTGATATGTCATAAGTTTATAAAGTTTTCCATGTTTCTCTTCTTATAATTTTTTCCTACTCAGAAAAATAAACTCTAGTCATATTGACTGCCATATTAACCATGAAGATATATATTTTTTCTGTATTTTCTAGTGTTTTCTTTTGTCACCATGTTTCACTGATCCTTATTCTATTAAGAAGAAATCCATTGTGGCATGAATTATCTCCTCTGTTGCTTTTCAAATGTGGACACTTTTAGTCCATTTCATGCATTTATGCAGCATTTTAACAAAAGTTTAAGACCTGAAGGAAGGCAGCATACCTAGCACACTTACAATTTTCCTATTTATGGTTGGTCTAGTGATTATTTGTGGATGGCTTCCTCAAAAATACATGCTGAAATTTGAACGTTGTTTTAAACAAAGGGTAGGAGTCATATTTTGTATGAACTTACAGCTTATAGTTATTTAAATTGCACACTGAAAAAAGGATAGGTATTCCTTAAAAAGCAGTATGCTAAAGTGTGCCCAAAGCAGCTTTACTTCATGGTATGTTTCTCAGTAGGGACTTGCTTGATTATTTATTTTAATATTCCGCTGAGAAAGAATGATGACAAGTAGGTATTACCTAGTTCATATGGTATGCAACCACCCAAAGTCCACAAAGAAAACGAAACTCCACAGTTTTAGTTTTATATTTGAATATCTTTGAAAAAGCTATATAGGTTTATGAAAAGGCAGAGAGAATGAGCAAAGTTCAGTGAGTCAGGAAGAGGACGTGGCTAGAAAGAACAATAGGTGTTTCAGAAAAAGAACTTTCAGATGGAAGTGCAGACCTAACCTATCCAATATGGTAAAATAATTTAGTAATTTTCAGAGGTATGTAGCGCTTATTGACAAGACCAAATAAATTAACTTCTGAAATCATTGAATAGCAAGATACAGAAAAAGAAACAGGCCATATTATACCTGGCAAAATCCTTCAAAATACCTGAAACGCCATTTTAATTCAAGAGCTGAAACTCTCTGTGTTGAAGTTATTTGCTTTCTTTATAACTGTGCTATAAATTCTTCCTCTTATGGTACATTTAGTTCCCCTTGTTGGGTTTTCGTTGGCATTTTCTCTCATACTGCTCTAAAAAGAATGCTCACTAGTTTAATGGAGCTTTTTAACATAAATATTTTCTACAGCACTTCCCAAACTCTTTTACATACAAGGGTAACAGCTGTCTCAGAAATATACAGGTTGTACTTTGTATATCAGAAAATGGCCATTGGGAAAACCTATGTTCCCAAAAGCTTTTGGATACACCTTCCTCATTGGTACAAATAAGATAGAAATTTTAAGGTGGTTCTAGGCTTCTTCCTTCCCCAATACTGGGAAATAAAATTTCAGGTTGGGCTCAAACCATCTGTAAACTGGCTAGATGGATCTTGGCAGCAAATATTTTTTATACCACCAATCCCACTAGGAAAGAAGTAGTTTCAAACAGTAGTAAACTTTAAAACCAGATGACAGCTTAAAATTTTTAGTTTACAAAAACTAGCAAGGTTTAATATGACTTCTTCCCAAAATGCCATGGGTTTTTAAGCTGAGGACTATTGAGAATATGGATTCTCTCTTGAGCAATGCAAAGCTACTGAATGAAGTCCCCAAATCCAAGAACATGTCCTAAGTTTTTCAAACCAAAATAGTAAAGTTAATTTTGCAATCTCCTTTAAAAGTGATCATTTTGTCAAGATGAATTTGCTCCAGTCTTTATTTATTTATTTATTTATTTATTTATTTATTTATTTATCTTGCTCTGTCGCCCAGGCTGGAGTGCAGTGGCATCTCAGCTAACTGCAACCTCTGTCTCCCGGGTTCAAGCAATTCTCCTACCTCAGCCTCCTGAGTAGCTTAGACTACAGGCATGTGCCACCAGGCCTGGCTAAGTTTTGAATTTTTAGGAGAGACAAGGTTTCACCATGTTGGTCAGGCTGGTCTCGAACTCCTGACCTCGTGATCCACCCACCTCAGCCTCCCAAAGTGCTGGGATTACAGGTGTGAGCCACAGCGCCTGGCCTTATTTTTTTTACTCTTTCTTATTTCATCCACCTGCAAATTTTTTTTATGAATTTGTTTTAAAAAATCTTTTACTAAAGATAGCAATTACTCACCTGCTAATAATAAATGCCAGATGTGAACATAGCACAAGGATAAGCCTCAGTATTTTCCAACACTAAGTACTATCTCACATTTTCATGATGTGAAAGAACAGTCAACTTGAGAGCAATTTTATTTTTTCATTGAAATCTTTTCCAGGCAATGCAGCACTAATAATTTAGAAATATTCCATCCCTAAGAGGTATTATTGAGACCTATTTCAAAGGTCTGAGACTTTTAGCTAAGTTTATATCCTCAAGTCAAAATGCTGTCTTGTCTCAGGAAAGAGCATAATTTGACATTACAAAATGCTCTCACTTGATACTAGAGCAAATAAGGAACTCTCTAAGTTAATTAGATACAATTGAAAAAATTATTTGAAGCTCTCTGAGCCTCAGTTTCCTTGTACCTGAAATGGTATGGCAGTATTACTTTCACTAGTGTGTTGTGAGAAATAAGACAATGTAATAGCATACTATTATTTTCGGTGCTTGTGTAATTCTTTAATATATGCAAAGATAAAATAAGCAAACTTGCAGCAGTAGTTGCCTGTAGAAAGGCTGGGAGGGAGATTTGGTACCTTATAAATTTTACATTTTCAATTTTATACCATGTAGACATATAAACTGTTGAAAAATTTTAATTTTAAAAGAACAACATAAGTAACGAAGCCAAAATATTTATTGATATAGAGAAGGTGCTCAATAAATATAATAGTGTAAAATTTTTCTTACATCCATGGATTGCATCCGTGCTCTGTGTGTATGTGTGTGTGTGTGTGTTTCTGTGTGTGTGATAGAGGGGGTATTTTCTTTTTTTTTTCCCCCTTCTGTTTCTAATTTCTTTGGTACTCTGTGAGTGGAATTTACTTAAGGTGTTAACAACATAATGGCTTGGTGTTTAAGTTTGTTTGATATTTTGCTCACATCCATGTCACACTTTTCACCTGTGTTAGTAATGCTGCAATTTCATCAGGAAATGTGGTTTTGTTTCCACCTTCTGTTTCTCCTCACCACACCCTTCTTAGGAATTGTAATCCAATACATTCACTGATCTAAGCCACATTTTTACTTCATTTTGAGTTTTGAGCAGAAAGTCTAGAGTATATATGAACTTTTGTTTTTAATACGTACTTCTCAGGCAACTAAGCCATAATAGAAATGCAGTTCACAAAACTGTTTTTGTTCATCTCAGTAAAGTATGCTCTCCTGTGAGAGAGTTAAGAAAGCTTCCAGTTAAGAAAGAATGGTCGTATCCTCAAATAGTAACTTTTGTGTTTGACAGTTTCTGAATGATAGTTTACATATGTCAGCACAAATTTGTCTTAGTTCAATATATTATTTTTGAAATGTTAAACTGCCCATGTGGTATTTTTTTGGAGAGCCTTAAAGATCTTGTAGGGTATAGTATTCACAACCACCTTTTAATGTAGACAATAATTTCTAGATATATGATTCTACCATCAATTTAATAAAATTGGACAAATGTTTATTTCTTTCACAATTGGCTTAGTATATGTGAACAGCTCTAAAGTATGTATCTCAATTATAATGTCATTTGAATAATTGCAGAATAACATTTAACTAATACACTACTTCAGATTTTCAAAAAGACTTCTATTAGGATCTGAAAATTGTCAAATTAACACTATGCTTAAGAATCAACATATAATTTGGGGAGGAGCCAAGATGGCTGAATAGGAACAGCTCCGATCTACAGCTCCGAGCGTGAGCAACGCAGAAGACGGGTGATTTCTGCATTTCCATCTGAGGTACCGGGTTCATCTCACTAGGGAGTGCCAGACAGTGGGCGCAGGTCAGTGGGTGCGCGCACCGTGCACGAGCCAAAGCAGGGCGAGGCATAGCCTCACTCGGGAAGCGCAAGGGGTCAGGGAGTTCCCTTTCCTAGTCAAAGAAAGGGGTGACGGATGGCACCTGGAAAATCGGGTCACTCCCACCCGAATACTGCCCTTTTCCGACGGGCTTAAAAAACGGCGCACCAGGAGACTATATCCCACACCTGGCTGGGAGGGTCCTACGCCCACGGAGTCTCGCTGATTGCTAGCACAGCAGTCTGAGATCAAACTGCAAGGCCGCAGCGAGGCGGGGGGAGGGGCGCCCGCCATTGCCCAGGCTTGATTAGGTAAACAAAGCAGCCTGGAAGCTCCAACTGGGTGGAGCCCACCACAGCTCAAGGAGGCCTGCCTGCCTCTGTAGGCTCCACCTCTGGGGGCAGGGCACAGACAAACAAAAAGACAGCAGTAACCTCTGCAGACTTAAATGGCCCTGTCTGACAGCTTTGAAGAGAGCAGTGGTTCTCCCAGCACGCAGCTGGAGATCTGAGAACGGGCAGACTGCCTCCTCAAGTGGGTCCCTGACCCCTGACCCCTGAGCAGCCTAACTGGGAGGCACCCCACAGCAGGGGCAGACTGACACCTCACATGGCAGGGTACTCCAACAGACCTGCAGCTGAGGGTCCTGTCTGTTAGAAGGAAAACTAACAAACAGAAAGGACATCCACACCAAAAACCCATCTGTGCATCACCATCATCAAAGACCAAAAGTAGATAAAACCACAAAGATGGGGAAAAAACAGAACAGAAAAACTGGAAACTCTAAAAAGCAGAGCGCCTCTCCTCCTCCAAAGGAACGCAGTTCCTCACCAGCAACGGAACAAAGCTGGATGGAGAATGACTTTGACGAGCTGAGAGAAGAAGGCTTCAGACGATCAAATTACTCTGAGCTACGGGAGGACATTCAAACCAAAGGCAAAGAAGTTGAAAACTTTGCAAAAAATTTAGAAGAATGTATAACTAGAATAACCAATACAGAGAAGTGCTTAAAGGAGCTGATGGAGCTGAAAACCAAGGCTCGAGAACTACATGAAGAATGCAGAAGTCTCAGGAGCCGATGCGATCAACTGGAAGAAAGGGTATCAGCGATGGAAGATGAAATGAAGCGAGAAGGGAAGTTTAGAGAAAAAAGAATAAAAAGAAATGAGCAAAGCCTCCAAGAAATATGGGACTATGTGAAAAGACCAAATCTACATCTGATTGGTGTACCTGAAAGTGACGGGGAGAATGGAACCAAGTTGGAAAACACTCTGCAGGATATTATCCAGGAGAACTTCCCCAATCTAGCAAGGCAAGCCAACGTTCAGATTCAGGAAATATAGAGAATGCCACAAAGATACTCCTCGAGAAGAGCAACTCCAAGACACATAATTGTCAGATTCACCAAAGTTGAAATGAAGGAAAAAATATTAAGGGCAGCCAGAGAGAAAGGTCGGGTTACCCTCAAAGGGAAGCCCATCAGACTAACAGCGGATCTCTCAGCAGAAACCCTACAAGCCAGAAGAGAGTGGGGGCCAATATTCAACATTCTTAAAGAAAAGAATTTTCAACCCAGAATTTCATATCCATCCAAACTAAGCTTCATAAGTGAAGGAGAAATAAAATACTTTACAGACAAGCAAATGCTGAGAGATTTTGTCACCACCAGGCCTGCCCTAAAAGAGCTCCTGAAGGAAGCGCTAAACATGGAAAGGAACAACCGGTACCAGCCACTGCAAAATCATGCCAAAATGTAAAGACCATTGAGACTAGGAAGAAACTCCATCAATTAACGAGCAAAATAACCAGCTAACATCATAATGACAGGATCAAATTCACACATAACAATATTAACTTTAAATGTAAATGGACTAAATGCTCCAATTAAAAGACACAGACTGGCAAATTGGATAAAGAGTTAAGACCCATCAGTGTGCTGTATTCAGGAAACCCATCTCACGTGCAGAGACACACATAGGCTCAAAATAAAAGGATGGAGGAAGATCTACCAAGCAAATGGAAAACAAAAAAAGGCAGGGGTTGCCATCCTAGTCTCTGATAAAACAGACTTTAAACCAACAAAGATCAAAAGAGACAAAGAAGGCCATTACATAATGGTAAAGGGATCAATTCAACAAGAAGAGCTAACTATCCTAAATATATATGCACCCAATACAGGAGCACCCAGATTCATAAAGCAAGTCCTGAGTGACCTACAAAGAGACTTAGACTCCCACACATTAATAATGGGAGACTTCAACACCCCACTGTCAACATTAGACAGATCAACGAGACAGAAAGTCAACAAGGATACCCAGGAATTGAACTCAGCTCTGCGCCAAGCGTACCTAATAGACATCTACAGAACTCTCCACCCCAAATCAACAGAATATACATTTTTTCGGCACCACACCACATCTATTCCAAAATTGACCACATAGTTGGAAGTAAAGCTCTCCTCAGCAAATGTAAAAGAACAGAAATTATAACAAACTATCTCTCAGACCACAGTGCAATCAAACTAGAACTCAGGATTAAGAATCTCACTCAAAACCGCTCAACTACATGGAAACTGGACAACCTGCTCCTGAATGACTACTGGGTACATAACGAAATGAAGGCAGAAATAAAGATGTTCTTTGAAACCAACGAGAACAAAGACACAACATACCAGAATCTCTGGGACGCATTCAAAGTGATGTGTAGAGGGAAATTTATAGCACTAAATGCCCACAAGAGAAAGCAGGAAAGATCCAAAATTGACACCCTAACATCACAACTAAAAGAACTAGAAAAGCAAGAGCAAACACATTCAAAAGCTAGCAGAAGGCAAGAAATAACTAAAATCAGAGCAGAACTGAAGGAAATAGAGACACAAAAAAACCCTTCCAAAAATTAATGAATCCAGGAGCTGGTTTTTTGAAAGGATCAACAAAATTGATAGGCCGCTAGCAAGACTAATAAAGAAAAAAAGAGAGAAGAATCAAATAGACACAATAAAAAATGACAAAGGGGATATCACCACCGATCCCACATAAATACAAACTACCATCAGAGAATACTACAAACACCTCTACACAAATAAACTAGAAAATCCAGAAGAAATGGATAAATTCCTCGACACATACACTCTCCCAAGACTAAACCAGGAAGAAGCTGAATCTCTGAATAGACCAATAACAGGATCTGAAATTGTGGCAATAATCAATAGCTTACCAACCAAAAAGAGTGCAGGACTAGATGGATTCACAGCCGAATTGTACCAGAGGTACAAGGAGGAACTGGTAGCGTTCCTTCTGAAACTATTCCAATCAATAGAAAAAGAGGGAATCCTCCCTAACTCATTTTATGAGGCCAGCATCATCCTGATACCAAAGCCAGGCAGAGACACAACCAAAAAAGAGAATTTTAGACCAATATCCTTGATGAACATTGATGCAAAAATCCTCAATAAAATACTGGCAAACCGAATCCAGTAGCACATCAAAAAGCTTATCCGCCATGATCAAGTGGGCTTCATCCCTGGGATGCAAGGCTGGTTCAATATACGCAAATCAATAAATGTAATCCAGCATATAAACAGAACCAAAGACAAAAACCACATGATTATCTCAATAGATGCAGAAAAGGCCTTTGACAAAATTCAACAACCCTTCATGCTAAAAACTCTCAATAAATTAGGTATTGATGGGACGTATTTCAAAATAATAAGAGCTATCTATGACAAACCCACAGCCAATATCATACTGAATGTGCAAAAACTGGAAGCATTCCCTTTGAAGACTGGCACAATACAGGGATGCCCTCTCTCACCACTCCTATTCAACATAGTGTTGGAAGTTCTGGCCAGGGCAATTAGGCAGGAGAAAGAAATAAAGGGTATTCAATTAGGAAAAGAGGAAGTCAAATTGTCCCTGTTTGCAGACGACATGATCGTATATCTAGAAAACCCCATTGTCTCAGCCCAAAATCTCCTTAAGCTGATAAGCAACTTCAGCAAAGTCTCAGGATACAAAATCAATGTACAGAAATCACAAGCATTCTTATACACCATCAACAGACAAACAGAGAGCCAAATCATGAGTGAACTCCCATTCACAATTGCTTCAAAGAGAATAAAATACCTAGGAATCCAACTTACAAGGGATGTGAAGGACCTCTTTAAGGAGAAGTACAAATCACTGCTCAAGGAAATAAAAGAGGATACAAACAAAAGGAAGAACATTCCATGCTCATGGGTAGGAAGAATCAATATCGTGAAAATGGCCATACTGCCCAAGGTAATTTATAGATTCAATGCCATCCCCATCAAGCTACCAATCACTTTCTTCACAGAATTGGAAAAAACTACTTTAAAGTTCATATGGAACCAAAAAAGAGCCCGCATTGCAAAGTCAATCCTAAGCCAAAAGAACAAAGCTGGAGGCATCACACTACCTGACTTCAAACTATACTACAAGGCTACAGTAACCAAAACAGCATGGTACTGGTACCAAAACAGAGATATAGATCAATGGAACAGAACAGAGCCCTCCGAAATAATGCCACATATCTACAACTATCTGATCTTTGACAAACCTGAGAAAAACAAGCAATGGGGAAAGGATTCCCTATTTAATAAATGGTGCTGGGAAAACTGGCTAGCCATATGTAGAAAACTGAAACTGGATCCCTTCCTTACACCTTATACAAAAATCAATTCAAGATGGATTAAAGACTTAAACGTTTGACCTAAAACCATAAAAACCCTAGAAGAAAACCTAGGCATTACCATTCAGGACATAAGCATGGGCAAGGACTTCATGTCTAAAACACCAAAAGCCATGGCAACAAAAGCCAAAATCAACAAATGGGATCTAATTAAACTAAAGAGCTTCTGCACAGCATAAGAAACTACCATCAGAGTGAACAGGCAACCTACAAAATGGGAGAAAATTTTCGCAACCTACTCATCTGACAAAGGGCTAATATCCAGAATCTACAATGAACTCAAACAAATTTACAAGAAAAAAACATACAACCCCATCAAAAAGTGGGTGAAGGACATGAACAGACACTTCTCAAAAGAAGACATTTATGCAGCCAAAAAACACATGAAAAAATGCTCACCATCACTGGCCATCAGAGAAATGCAAAGCAAAATCACAATGAGATACCATCTCACACCAGTTAGAATGGCAATCATTAAAAAGTCAGGAAACAACAGGTGCTGGAGAGCATGTGGAGAAATAGGAACACTTTTACACCGTTGGTGGGACTGTAAACTAGTTCAACCATTGTGGAAGTCAGTGTGGCAATTCTTCAGAGATCTAGAAATACCATTTGACCCAGCCATCCCATTACTGGGCATATACCCAAAGGACAATAAATCATGCTGCTATAAAGACACATGCACACGTATGTTTATTGCGGCATTATTCACAATAACAAAGACTTGGAACCAACCCAAATGTCCAACAATGATAGACTGGATTAAGAAAATGTGGCACATATACACCATGGAATACTATGCAGCCATAAAAAATGATGAGTTCATGTCCTTTGTAGGGACATGGATGAAACTGGAAAACATCATTCTCAGTAAACTATCGCAAGAACAAAAAACCAAACACCGCATATTCTCACTCATAGGTGGGAATTGAACAATGAGATCACATGGACACATGAAGGGGAACATCACACTCTGGGGACTGTGGTGGGGTGGGGGGAGGGGGGAGGGATAGCATTGGGAGATATACCTAATGCTAGATGATGAGTTAGTGGGTGCAGCACACCAGCATGGCACATGTATACATATGTAACTAACCTGCACATTGTGCACATGTACCCTAAAACTTAAAGTATAATAATAATTTTAAAAAATGAAAAAAAAAAGAATCAACATATAATTTGATAACTTCATTAGTGGCCTAGAAACCACAAAAGAAGTTTGCTGAACAGGCATTTTTAAAAAATATATCTATTCTCCAAAATAAGCCAACTGAGGTACTGTAAATTTCTTATAGTCAGATATCTTTAGTTTATTTCACAAAGCCACAGAATGTAAATGTTCAAGTTTATTAAATGGCATATACTCTGGGTTGATATTACATTTCTACTTAATGAGAAATAAGAGAAGGTAGAATATACTACTGCTTGTGTTTTTGGGCAAAACAACAAAGATGTCATACCTTATCTAGAGCAATCATCATTGATAAGACTCCCCATAGAACCCTCACCAGGAAATCTGATCTAAGGCCCAGTGCAACTAAATAGTTTACTGACATTGAGTATGGACAAGATGGGAATGTGCCCTTCATGGCCACTTAATCATCTGGTACCCTCCAGTTCAATAAAATCATCTAACTCTTGCCAAAAATAATATTCATGTGGGAGGTAATTTCCTATAGCTGGAGGCAACTGGTGCCTAAACTGCATACTTATTTTGGTTTATAAGTCACATGTTTAATTCTCCTTTAGTCATAAATGGAGTAGCTCTTTTACTGAATACCTGTTCTACTTTCTCTGAAGGACCTTCTTACCTTTTGTGAAAAGAGAAATAAAATATTATTTCTGCCTTTACATTAATTTGCATTGATTTTTGTCTGTCTAATATGAGGTTGGATAAAAAATGTTATAAAACAACCAAATGCAAGAGAGAGACAAACACCTTTTCTATCCAAGTAATAGTTTTTAGTTGTTGATTTTACTATTTCAGCTGCCTCTTGAATAGACTTTAAATATAATAAACATCATAATTATGGATTTTCTTACCCTAAAGAAAGCTAAATGATAAGAATGATTGATTAATTACATTATTTACTCTAATATTTCCTATTAAACCTCCTGTTGACATGGTCTGACTAAATCCTGATATTAAATTTTTCAGTTTTCATTTTTTAAATTATTCTATTTTTAGTTTTTAACTGTGGTTTAGAGGCAAAGAGGTTCAACCAGTAATTTAATTTTTTCGATTTTTTTAAGGAAAGAAGACACAAGGTATCTTCTCACAGGTGTTCCATCATGAAAATGTTTGAAATTTGCATGATGTTTTGACAATGCACTTTTAACTGAGACCCTCTTATTCACTCAGACCAATAACAAACTCTTCACCTGATGTTTAAAAATACATCATCTATTTGCTAATATTTTGGGAAAAAATTAGATATTACCCTTAATAAAAATGTCATGGTGCTTGAATATTGGTTAATATTAAGGAGACAATAGGCATTTATGTATTTCAAAGTGGCTTTGAAATTTATACATAGGTTATCATAACATTTTTGCATTTTCAGAAAAGGGCTATTTCTAAAAATAAAGGCATATTTTAGTGAGAGCAATTCAGATTTACACTTGATATTTAAGTAAGTGAAGAATGTATAAAGTGCTTTTGAATCCCAAAGACACCATGCTGTGACAATTTAGGATGACATACAAGAACAATTCACTTACTAATAATTTATACTCAACATATTATCTAAGCATCTTTTTTATTTATCTTGAATCACAACAATCCAAAATGAAAGATCAAATTTTTAAACTCAGTTTTCAAGATAAGATTCATATCTATGGATGTTTAGAGTAATAACATGTTTATGTTGCTCAGTGATTTTCTCTGTGTCGCTTTTCTCCACTGTTCTGGAGGGTCTCCATAGTCAAGTCTATTCAGACATATAAGCGAGACAAAGGTTCTACCAAAGGAATTGCTTTGGTGTGGGCCACTATGAATATAAATTTTACATTGCAAAGCCCTTATTTGCAAGTAAGAATTAGGTACGTGAACATATGGTAATGTTACACAAATGCTTGTTATAATTTATCTTTGCCCTCTTTATTATCTGCATATTTTCCAAATCAACAAATAAACATTAACCTATTCGATCAACAAGATAATATTAAGATATACTGTAGTTGTCATGGATTATTTGAAGGAAAATGTATAACCTTTGTTGTTTTGTTTTCAAATAACTCACTGTATGTAGAAAGGCAATTACATGTTTTCTGGAAGAGATAATACAAGGTCCTTTCTGTTTCCAAGAAAGAAAGAGTAATTTTTACAAACTTTAGTTTGTTGAAAGGTGGTATGGTTTAGTGTAAAAGGCTTGGGATTAAACAGACCTGAGTTTGAACCTTCACCTTGAGTTGCCATTAGCTGAGCAACCTTGAATTTCTTGAACTGTAAAATAAGGATAACATTATTTACATTATGAGATTGTTAATAGAACTAAATGAGATAACTTGAAAGTGTCAAGCCAGTGCCGACTGGCTGACAAACACAGAGTGAAATTCAGTAAATATTAACTTCTCTTTTACCCCCTTCTTGTCTTTTCCCTTCTATTCTTTACCGTCTGGATATGATTCCTCCATTATTAAACTCTGACCTAGAGTTAATTCAATTTAAGTAGCAATGAGTCAAAAAGTGATGGAATCTTGCATTGGAGTGATTATGATCTGGGTTTGTCAAAATTCCTTCCTCTTAAAACACATTTCTGCTATATATGAGGCCATGTGGTTGACTTATTTTTGGACTGGTTGATAGCTTATAACAAATAAAAACACTTCTCCCACTAGATATATTAAAAAATAAAAAGCAAGAAAAAAATTCTGGCAAGAAAAATATTAGTTATTTCTAAATCATAGCAAAATCTCATTAATTCAGATCCTACTGAGAAAGAAGTGTATAAAAGATTTAATTGCCATTAGAATAAAAGCTATGAATAAGATTTTATAATGATACCTTACCCTACGTTATAAGGATATTAGAACCATAGTAACTTTACACATATGAAAGCAAGTGATATGATAAATGTAGTTTCCATTTTGTGAGTTTGTCAGTGGTCATAGTAGAAAATAATAAAATTTTATGTTTTAGCAAGATTCACTGAATCAGACTTTATTCAGATTTTCTAAGTACTAGATAAGTAGTCATACACTAAATCAGTGAATAAGTATTTGATAAAATACTTCCTTCAATAAGGACATATCCTTCAATAAGGATAAAAAATAAGTAACTGCATAATGATGCAGAGAGCATTTCAGTTTTCCTCTTAGCATGGTCATAACATGAAACTTGCATTTTGTTTGTTTTGTTTTGTTTTGTTTTTGCCTTAATTGAATTAAAGAATGTGTATGTGGTTTTGTCACAACACAGATGGAGAATTATACTCTGGAACTGCAGCTGATTTTATGGGGCGAGACTTTGCTATCTTCCGAACTCTTGGGCACCACCACCCAATCAGGACAGAGCAGCATGATTCCAGGTGGCTCAATGGTAGGTGGTTTATGAAAGAACATAGACATGTAACATGTGTAACTGTATTAAGTTACTAGAGAACTCTTTTACAGTACATGCAATATGACTTGAAATTTATTGTGCAGTTAAGCTAATGGTGGTGACTTCATGATGGTGGGTGTGAGAAAGTTCGGCAAAGAAAGAAAAGAGAGATTAAATATTCAGGAAAGATTCATTTAGTGCCAAAGTTGAAGTTTCTCAGTAGTTAGCTATGGAAAGAAAGATCTGGACCGGAGCTACGGAAGGGAGGAAATGGAAAAAGATAAGATGACTTACCAATTCTGTCTTATGGGGACACCACAACAAATCTTACAGTGTAGTTTTTTTTTTTCCTTTACATCTCTTATTGTTTCCTTGAAAACGTCATCTTATATACTAGTGAATGTCAAAAATTGAATGTTATTGCAGTGTGAATAACATATTAATAGTCTTTTCAAAATTTCAAATGTCTTTTAAATCATGATTTCATTTGATTCACATTTAATCTTAATCATCTTAAAACCCCTCTCCCAATTTATAGGTTAGGATTATTATCTAATCTAGTAGAAGATTGTTTAGAACAGAAACCCAGTTTTCTGAACTTCAGGCACTGGCTTAACTACTTGATCAAGTAGATGCTTATTATTATTTATTACTATTACTCTCTTTTCTTTTTAGTATAGAAAATAATTTTGGCATAGCAGAAAATGCACAAAATGTATATACCTAAAATAAATAAATACTACTCTTATTCAAAATTTTAACTAAGCAATCCTTTTATATCCTTCTACCTAGAGTTCTTTTTTTTTTAGTTATTTACACATTTACCAAAAATTTTTATAAAGGTCCCTACTATATTAATCATGGTTGTTTTTATCATTACTTAATTATCTATATTTATACCTACCTTCAATCTTAAAAAATAAAGCCACCCAATCTCCAATTATCCCTCCATGAATTTTTTCCTGCTTGTATATAACTCGTTCATAAGAATGAAGCATGAAATTTTTCCTGGTTTTACATAATTCATTAATAAGAAAGAGGCTTATGGTTTATAGTCATGTTCTCAGTAAGATGCCTGAATATCTCATTCTATGAACTTCTGCCACACTTAGTTTTCCTGCCTTATTCCAGGAACCCCAAAATTTAGTTCATTCCTTCTGTCTTCCATTAGTTATTAGAGAAAAATCACAGGTCTACCTATAGACCTCATTGAAATTCCAGGAGACCATGAGTTGTGTGACAACCTTTGTTCTGATCGATCCTATACTTCAAAGTGACTACTCAAAACATAAAACATACCTCAAATTACCTCAATCAGCATCTCTTCCCTCCTATGACAGCATTTCTGAATGTCCTATAATTTTCCATGTGGTAGTGACAAAGGCATGCTCCCTGCCTCCACGTTTGACCCTTCAGCCTTGGCTTTTAATGGCATTGATGTTCTTTGGTTAATTTAGCCAATTTACATTTCCTTTGCTATCTTTATCTCTTTTTCAGCACTGATTTCTTCCCCCAAGCTGAAATCTTACTTATCCCATGCAAAACTGTTCTCTCATGGTATGCCACAAAGTCCCAATATATCTAAGTTCATAGCCTGGTTAGGACTTGTTTCCTCAATGTTTCACTACCTTTACTTTAAACCTGGCATTCATCCAATAATTACTTCCATGAAATTATTCCTCCAAAGGACACTAATGATTTTCTATTACTTTTTATTAATCTCTACTTTGACAATGTCTCTTGCAGTATTTATCATTAACTAGCCCATTCTTTTTCAATCTCTTCTCTTAGCTTCCCTTATTTCTTGCTCTCCCAAGTTTTCTCTAAATTTGGCATAACTTCTTTATTCTTTAAAATGCTAATGATGCCTAACATAATTGATGATTGCATACAAACACTGTGGTAATCAAAGGGGATTAGACATGTAGTCAAATGTTCCTCTGCCACCAGGGATAGACGGGGTCTCATGGTACCTGGGTGACCATGTGAGAAATGTGATGCCTCACCAGGGAAATGAAAAGGTGCTGAGATGAAGAGAAGAGCATGTGCAGAACTCCAAAAACCCAGGGGAATATTCTAGAATATCCAATATAAATTATTAGACCTAGGATGTGTGCAGAGGCAAAATTAGTAGGAAAAAAAAACTCTCTTAACATTTCTATCTGGTTTGTTCTCAAACTGAAATATTTGTGTGGGAGGGAAAATGTTTGTTTTTCTATTTAGAAAGAAGACTTTGATCTACTAAGTACCCTAAAGGGCATAAAGGCTTTCTCTGTCCATGAGAAACAAAATCTCATTAGAAGATGGAATAACATAAAGGAGAGTATAGTATCCATTTCATTTTTATGGCCTTGGAGAAAAAAACCCATCAAGTTAAAGCTGCTTTTATGCTGCACACTCACATGTTGACAGCTGAGTCTGAAGAATTTACACTGTGGGAAAACACAGGCATTGTCCACAGCTCTGTACTTCATCTCTGAAAATGTGTAGTTCATTTGAGAATTCAGTTATCAGTCTCTCAGCACTAAACGTGAGAACTGATTTTTCCAAATTAGCACAAAGGTTACATCTGACAGGGTGCAAAAAACAGAACTGCTGCAAGATGGAAGATACAGATATGTTTGGGATAGAACCAAGGGACTCTGAATCACAAGCCTTGTGAAATTAAATACCATTACAGAATAAAATTGAAAACAATGTTTACACATTCATGCATAAAATAAATGAGTTTTGAGGCATCAGCATAGACTATACAATCATACGTGTTCCAGAATTAACACATTGCTTTGCAAAGTAGTTTTTAAAGGTCTTCAGGAATATTAAAATTAATTTCAGCATAGGACTTTATTTTTCTCAAATCAGTTCAACTCTTTTGGAAGAATCAGTTCACCTATTTTAGATGACTTTTAATTTTTGTTCCTGGTAAGGAAAAGCAAACAACCAAACAGTTCTCTAAAATTGTAACTTGAAATATCTTGATTTTTTAAAATGGAGTTTCACTACTTTCATAATTAGAAAATTTATATGATAATGCCAATAAATGTTTAAATTCAGTTTTAGCAGGAAAATTTAGGAATGAATAACACTTTCAGATTAAGAAACTTCAGACAATGGAGTCTGTTGTGTATTTTACATTTTAACATGTAATAACGTTCTTAAAACATCTTCATTAGTTACGATAAACCCTAATTTAGGGTTTCTAAATGTTATAACAATGTTTTATTTCAGAAAATATACTGCTAGGGGTTTGGCATGATGTACCAGTATTTTTTTCTTGTACTACATAAATTCTCTCAGTATTATATGATTTCAAATTTCAATTCCAATTTCAGCTTAATGTGGAAATAAAGTAAAATTGTTCTGTGTATATTTATAGTAAGGAAACAAATAAGTTTATGCTGCTGTTATCATAATGATATCTTAACATTTAGTATGAAAATACTACTACCTAGTTATTGTCCATATTAACCATTCATTAGAGCAGTTTATTTTTCTAGCTCACATTTATTTTTCTTATTTGATGGAGACTGTTTTCCAATATTGTTTATGTCTTGGAGTAATAGTGGGATGATACATGATTTGGAAGAAAGACTATCTTTAGAATGAGGCAGGGTTTCACTTTACTTTGGCCCTTACATTAATAAAATGAACAGAGGTACTACCTATCTCCTATAGTTGTTGTGGAAAAACGACCACATATTAATGTATAAAAAACACTGAGCAAGTTCTTGGTATGTAGTAAGCACTTAATAAATGCTAATTATCTGAGTATCCTTTATCCCACTTCTGTTGGGTGGAGCACGCTTAGGAAGCTTGGCCTGACTCACTCTGTGAGTGATTATATTTGAGTCAGGGTGAAAGGGCAGCCAGAGTCGGGTTTAATATATGAAACCACATGGATCCCAAGGCCTGGGGAACACAAACAGACCTAATTACAATGCCTGGAGTGTGACGCCTTCCCACTCATTTCAGGAAGACCTGTTTTCTTTTAGTGGAATTTCCTAAAAGGATCGTGCCTGTAGATAGACTAACTCACTTGCTCTTTTTCTGTAATTGAAATGGTATGCAAGTCATCACTTCACTTCCTCTCACTTGTAATATTCATACCCTGATGGCCTGCCCTTATTGGAATCAGCGTAGCTTCCTCTGTGGTCATGTACTAGGATATTTCGTACTCTCTTAAGATTCAAATTTCTCCACAACATGCGCTTTTAGAAAACTAGACCCAGTGATGAAACATATGACTGCAAATAAACTATGAATACGCAAGTTAACATTACACGTTACCAGATACCCAATCTCAAATCACTTGTACACTTGTACAGCTCTTTTAATACACTATTTCGATCTTACTATCTTTGGAGACATAAAAAACGTCAGAGTATCCAATTGCATTTTCTTTAATAACTAAAACAGATCATCTAGTTTTGCATAAAGTCAGACTTAACGATGATGTCATTTTTGATTATTTCTTTGGCTTAAGCAAGTTATAGTATTTTGCTGACCTTTGGGGAAAAAGCCCTCTATAAGCCTGTTTTATGGTTATTTGAGCAGATGAGTGTTAGAGAAGCTGAGTGATCATTCAGTTAAAACAACAGCAACAACAAAGGTCCTCTTAGTTTTTATAGTCAATGAAAGAAGAAAACAAGAATGCAGTATTTTAAAACGTTTGAATTATGTATTCTATGAGTAAGTAGTGTATGCATTAGCTAGCAATTCTGGAGTATCAATGTATAAAGTCACAGAAATAAAATGAGAATACTTAAGGTATTTTCTTGAAATTATGCTGAAAATTCAAATATGCAAACTTTAGAATAATAGTTATGTCTATACCTAAACACAACTTAGTAGTTTTGTTTCCTCAAGAATCTATTACTCAGAAACATTTTCGTCCCAACAAATAATGCACAGCCATTATAAATGTATCTTTTTAAACAATAAATATACACCATGAAATTATTCTACTCTCTAAATAATAATACATTTAATCAAATCACTAAATACATCTTTTTTTCATAAAGAACTAAAAGTTACCAAAATATACCATCACTTGATATCCTTTATCAAGGACATACTTTCTCTGTCACTTTTTGTCTAAGGAACATAAAGACTTTTAGCAAGTTTTTTGAAATTACTAATAAGGAAATATGAATAAAGCTTTGGAATAAAAATTAACTCATTAATGGCAATATATTTGAAAACTGGTTTTATTTTTTCCGGGCTTCTAAGAAAAGTGACCTGAATAAAATTGTTCACATTTTCCATTTGAATTTTTTTAATGTTGGGCTAAAACATACAACTCTCAGATGTGGCATATAGGCAGAAAATTTTGAATTTCTTACTTTGAAATTAACAGTTGATGAGAGTAGGAATCTAAGATTTAGAAGTATTATTATATTTTCTCAAGGTAATCCTGCTTTTTAAATGAAAGTTGATCAAAAAATGAGACAATATATTGGACAATTCTTTATATCAAAGGCAGCTTCCTTTTTCCTCTTGTTTTTTACATTTTTTTCTCTCTTGTCTCACCATCAGTTTAATGAATACACAGCCTGTCTATACCAATTTCCTCTTCTAGAGTCACTACATTCAAAGCTTGGTGGGTCTCAATAGGGATTTACTGCTGACTGGGTAATCTGGGTTCCTGTGTGCAGTGACATCAAGCAAGAGATTTACCAAGAGAAGTGGATGCCATGACAATGCATGTAACCATGGTGTGACCGGCCTCCCTGACATGGCTCTCAAAAGCTTTCCCTCTGTGAAAACAGAAGCCTGTTTGCAAATTAATTAGTTTCTGGCGGCAGCTTGATTGTTGACCCAGAGTTTGTAGAGTGGAAAAACAATCAGATTAGTGTGCTCAGGGTAAAAGACCAGTGTGCACTTGCGTGTGGCTTGCTCAACTATTGAAGCTATGAATGGGGTGAAACAAATTCTATTCTGAGAAGCCCAGGCAGAGGTTAAGTGTGATGAGCCTAGAGCTCCCCAACAGCAGGGGCTGGGGAATTAAAGGATTTTACCCAGATCAAGCTGAATGATGGGAAGCAATGCCATTGAATTTTAATGGAATGGAGAGTTTTGACCAGAAAAAAAAAAAAAAGCCACTTGTTATACCCTAATCACTCTGAGTGAAAGGAATGGGTTTACAATATTATGAAATATTCAATGCAGGTTTGATGCAAATACTTTCAGAATAGAAGATTTCAGGAACTTTCACAGTGGAAGATATTAATGACAATATCTCAAAAGGTCATATAATATTTAAATTTTTTAAAGTTCCAAAATAACCTGCCTTTCCATGTTGATAAAATATGTGTTCATATATCTACTCTACTATTATATAAGATATAATTCTCAGATGCCCTATAAAATGAATACTGAGACAGAGGGAAATGTTGACTTATGAGAATATATTTTCTCATATTTATTTTTACAAATATCAATTTAGATAATTATACCTAGAAATTGTGTCTGCAGGCTTAGCACAAATTCTGGATGCAATTTTTTATTAATTAAAATTTATTTTAATAAAGTTATTGATTATGCTTAATTTTATAAGTTGCATAACACTTTAAGCCATATGTACATTTTTTAGATATAACTGATAGATTTCTCCCTAAATACAGCACTGATTACTATCACAATACTCTCCTGTTCAAAAATCATTTATGTCTCTCAATTTACAAGCAAATTGAATCCAGATTCTGCTGCCTGTCAAGTCCTTTATCATCTAATCCTAAGTGACCTCTCCAATATTAAACTCTACCATACTCAAATCAAATAGAGCTGGTGGCCCTCAAATTTGCTGTCTTTTTCATATAGCCTTACCATTTGCCCATGGGATTTTAAGTGTTTCCACCTTTGAACCCCAAGACCAGATAGATGTATGTTTGTAGTTATCACAGGGCCTAACATCCAGCCTCTTACCCTACGATATATGAAATAAGAAACTAATGAATCTCTTCATGGGCCCTAAAGTTAATCTGCCTCAGTTTATATCCCAGGTCCTCCATTTATTACTTACGTGACTTTGGGAGTCATTTAAGTTATTTATATTTGCCACACATTTATGGTTTGTAAGAAAGGGTTAATAGTAATATCTCATACTGTTTTTCTGAGAATGCATGAGACAGTGTATATAGGGTAATTAGAACAGTATCTGATAATATAGTAAATGCTCATGTTAACTGTGATTGCTGCTGCTGTTACCTATATACACCTCTATGCAAAGTAGACAATACATATTTAGTAAATTGATACAACAAACAACTCTGGAATTTATGCTTGTCTTCCTTAAAATGTTGTCAAGCTATTTGATTATGTTTTAATTGATAGCTACTATCATTATGTGGGGAAATTAGTACATCAGGAATATGTAATATGTTTCTAGTAGTAGTTTTAGCTTCAGTATTAAAATCATAAAACACATTGTGTTTTACAAAATTAGAAGATGAAACAATGAAATTATAAACAATAGCCAAGGCTAAATTGTAATGAAATGTGTTTCTGTACGTGTTAATTTATCTCTAGTAAGTACAATACTTATAACTTAATAAACTTAAATAAACAATTAGGTTAATTCTCCATTAAATTTTTTTCAATAAATTAGTTAAGAAGACATTAACTGCACTTATGACTCTCCTGCTACATCACAGTTTAACGTTTAAATTTTTCATGAGGGGTCATCAACTATAATCTTTGGGATGATTGTTAACAGCATGGAGACCTACTGTCTGACTTCGGCAACTGTAAAGAGATCTCTTTGTGATCTAGTGTAAGCTCTCTGTGATCAATTTCTCCTTTTCAAATGAGAATAACTGCAGTTTCTCTCTCATTTGGTTGTTACGAGAATCACATATGAATTAATTTATGTAATGCATTTGGAAAAATAACTACTACAAAAATAAAAAAATTCAATTGATGTTGTCTTAATATTGTGTAAGAATTTTAATGAATGGAACAATTAAAATACATAAATATACTGAGTTGCTAAAAATGTAGTAAAATGCACAGTCTCATTAAACTGTGCAGCCACATATTTCTAGGAAAGCAATCAAAGTGGCGTAGGGAAAACAAGACCAGATGAAGTGATAGTGATCTATGTCCTTTCCTTAGACTGAATCTATACATACAGGAATTCTTGCTTAATGGTGTCTGCTCATTTTGATGAAAGTAAATCGACTCTGCTTCCATAAAAAGAAAAAGCATTTTTCTAAGCTTAGTGACATACCTATTGCTAAGTTACTTACACATGACAAAAAAGCATTAAAAATGTTCTAAGCTTCATATATCAACTAAAAATGTTATTCAGGTAAAGGGTCTTTAAAAATGTTTCCCCAATAATACTGGTAAAGAAGATGTGTATCTAGATGCCCTTAAAATAAACATTTTCAAGGTAGAAATATATGGGTTACTACATGACTAAAGAAATTAGACAAGAGAATATCAAAGTCCTTGTTCTCAGCCGTATATCAGTTTCCTATGGTACTTTCTTATTATCATATACATTTTGCATTTTAAATTGTATACCATTATATATTTGTTATTATTATTACTTTAAAAATCTATTCAAAAATAGAGTTATACTTTTAAAATAAATCATAATTTGTTTCTAGTAGTAATTTTATAAATTAATATGGGTGCAGTTTTGTCATTAGAAGTATGGTTTTTATTACTTTGCTTGAAGATTTGCTAAATTTTAATTATTGTTAGATTTAACGTAGGCTAATAGCATAAGACACTCATCAAAAATGTAACTTTTCAACGTGTTTACAGATTTCTCTGAATTATTTTAAATCCAAATAATAATCTCTACAAATAATTTAAAAATTAGGCAGGTATGGTGGCATGCATCTGTAGTCCCAGTTACTTGGGAGGCTGAGATGGGAGGATCACCTGAGCCTGGGAGGTCAAGGCTGCAGTGAGCCATGATCATGCCACTGCACTCCAGCCTAGGTGACAGAGCCAGACCGTGTCTCAAACAACAACAACAACAACAAATAAACAAAAGATGCCAGGGCTTTGATATCACAGAGAGCTTTCCCATACATTTATAAGGGTATTTATGGAAAACTGGTGTTGCTATTCTCATTGATTAATTGGAATTATTACATATTCTGTAGGGTAGGAAAACAGGTAATCCTTAAGAGAAAACAAAATTGAAAAAAAGAAAAAAAACTTAGCTGTTTGGAAGGAATCTGCAAAGAATGTTGAAGGAGAGGAAGGAAGAAAGGGAAAAAAGAAAATAATTCCTAATGGTTAATAATAATTTCCTGATGAGATTTTTGTCATTACTTGATTATATTAAACATGTATCATCTTAATAAAATCAATGACATCAACAAACTGAAATAAATATCCCCAAACTGTACCATATAGTCTCCTATCCAAAGGTTTAACTCTCAATTTTATAATGCAAGTTACAGGTGATACATACTTAAGGACTTTTTTATAAGCTCAAAACATTAAAAAAATGTTACTGGAACATATATTAATTCCTAAGAATACTCAGATTACCATTTTATATCTGACCATATGGTTGTCCGTAAAAACAATTAAGATACTATGTAATATAATATGATAGAGGTAAAATAGCTACATTATTAATGAGAAGTTAAGACTAGGTATTTTTCTACAGAGATTAAACTATTCATTTCAGTTACTGTTTATCAATTTGTTTCTTTTTAAATTTTTGATTTTCAGTAAGTATTTTTATATTCTCAAGTCTAGTCTCTTCTCCTCTCATTCAACAATGTTTCTATTTACCTGTAGAAAATTTAGGTTTCTAAATCACCCCAGTTACACAGAATGTTATTCTCTTCTCATTTCCCTACTGCTGATATAAGTCCTCCCAGAATCACTGATAATAGCACAGTGTATGAACTACATTTGGTAGCTACCAATATGTACTCTGGCAACTTCCATTTTTTTAAATGCAAATAGCATCCACTAGGTTCAAGGAACTGTTATAAGAAACAAAATTAAGTGAAAACCCTGCCTTCCAGGATAAAATCATAGTACTTTTTATCTAATGAAAAACCCTAGAAGTCTTAATACATCTATAGGATCATATTCATATATTTCCAAAATGTCTTTATATCTCAAAACCATTGTTTAACTCATAGAGTAAGGGAGGAGTTACTATCCATCTCCCTTTAGATTAAACAAATTTTTGGATTCCATTGATTTTCAGGCTCTCAATCTAGTATCACAACTACAGAGTGGGGATTTCACTATAAAATGAAAGCAGGACATGACAATTTATGAGGCAGCTTTCCTTTGTCTAAATACACCCAGTCTTCTCTTAGAAAGCGTGTGTAGAAGAGAGTTCAAAACAAGAAATTGGAAATTATTGTTTTAAGTTTTGAAGAAAAGGACGGGAATCAGTTGGAACCAGAAAAACTGTATATTATTTCTAGATTATATGATTGTAGATTTTTAAATTGTGTTATCTCAGTGACAAATGTCCCTAACTATAAGTAAATTGTGAACAGGAATCATAGAAAAAATAATGAGATGAAAAGTAGATTGGTGTTTAGAAAGAAGTAATCAGAGAGTGGGGAGAAACCAGAAACAGTATTCTTTTCTATTCAGTAGAAGCTCGATAACTGACACCCTGGACTATCATCACAGTAAAATAAGGTCTCTTCAGCTGGTCTCTGCACTTTAAAAGCCACACGAAAAATGATAATAAATTAATTAATAGGAATAATCATGGTTCTTGATCCAGACATTTTTCTCAGAGTTAAGGGGTTTTATTTTGCTTTAAGATTTTAATTTTTTCTTTGATTATTTAAAGGAATGAATAAATAAGAACTTAAAAAATACATGTTCTAAATAATTTTCTTAAGTAATTTTTTTCATCTTAATCAATGATAAACACAATAATACTCCTACAATATGGACAATAAATATTTAACATGTTATTTGCTAGAGAATTTTTACATGCCAGTAATTTTACTGCCTTCCTATTTTATGATTAAAGAAATAAAATGCATAGTCATTTCCCAATTTCTTTGGTTTTTACTATGTAAATGTGTAAATTGTGTTTGTTGGCATATTTTTTAAATTGCCTTTCTATTTACATAAAATCTCTAAGCATTTTCATTGGTCTCAGTAAGATCTGGAGGCATATTATTTCAAAAGATAGGGAAATATATTTTCTTTGTTGTTTTTAACTAATAAATGTATGTATAACATGTCTTATAGATGGTCTAATAATTTTATTCTAATTAATATCTAATTATAGAAAACTCAGCATTGTCCAGGAATAATGATTCTAGGTATTTTCTGATAGTTATTTTATGGGAAAAGGTAGAAAATAGTAGTTCCACTAGAAAGTAAACCTAACTTAAATTTAATTTATAAAGATAGTGGAAACCGTTTCTTTGTGCTAATAAAATAAAATGAGAGGAAACGTGCTTATTCAAAAGAAAGTTGGAAGTATCAGATTAGTTTAGAAAAACCTTTATTAGTCTTGATGAGGTACCTACGCAAACAACTCCATATGAGCAGTCAAATAAGGGGAAAAAAAAGACAAAAAAACAGGAAATAGGATTAATGGACTGCCTGCACTGAACAAAGACCAATAATACTTCATTATAGTCATAAGCAGCAATTTAGAACTGTACCCACCAAATTGCCTAGGTGTCGTGACATTGGTGTTATTACACTGAGTATTTGAAAGTTTATCATTAAAAGCAATATTTGAAAAATTGGCAGTCTTACAGAAGTAAATATTTGAAATAATCATGAACAACAGAGAGCATGTATTTGTATTGTATTTTATTATCTTCAAAGTGCTATCTACAAGATCACTTCCAAACTATAGATAATCAAATTAAGTATTCTGCAAAAAGTTAGTTGTAAACTGAAATTTAGTGATAACTGAGAATAAATTAATTTTGCCATTAATTTTATGAAATTAATTTTATCATGTTAAAAATTTGCATATTTCTGCAATTTGCAAAATATTTACATGTAAGGAATGTTTGTCGAGTCAGATATATACTGTTCCAAGATAAGATAAAAGACCATACCAGGCCAGGCGCAGTGGCTCATGCCTGTAATCTCAGTAATTCGGGAGGCCGAGGCAGGCGGATCCCTTGAGATCAGTAGTTCGAGACCAGCCTAGCCAACATGATGAGACCCTGTCTCTATTAAAAATACGAAAATCAGCCAGGTGTGGTGGTATGTGCCTATGGTCCCAGCTACTTGGGAGGCTGAGGCAGGAGAATCAGTTGAACCTGGGAAGCGAAAGTGACAGTGAGCTGAGATCACACCAGGGAACTCCAGCCTGGATGACAGAGTAAAACTCTGCCTAGGAAAAAAAAAAAAATTAAAAACAAAAAATTGCCAAAGTTGAAGGATTCTATCATGCCATAGTTCACAAACCAAAGATCTGTGTTATTTATACATAGTAAAATCACTGAAATCTTAGCTTGTATAGACCCCTGCTACTACGTGTGTGGCCCTTGAACTAAAAGGATGTGCATCCATGGGATCTTGTTCAAAATGTGGACTCTCAGGGCCCACCCAGTTGTATTGAATGAGAATCTGTACCTATCAAGAGCCCACATTAAAACTTGAGAAGGACTCAACTAAACTACCAAAGTATATTATACTTTTGATTATTAAAAGCGACATAAAAGTGGTTTTTGTTCCCTTCTACCTGAATAGATTATTTTATATCCCTACTTTTAGCACAAAATAATGTGTATGACAGGGCAGATGTGTTATTATTTAGATTCAATTTACTGCTCATTTGTGATCTAATTCAAATTTTGCAATTTAAGAGGGCTAAATTCTTTGTCCATCTCAAATTAGTGGCTTATTCCATTTAAGCTGGGAAGATAAGAACATAGGCTAAGTGTGTTCTTTGAACAGCTATGTTGGATTTTCAAGCAACAATCAATGAAAGCCCATCTAACACTGCTCGAACCATTTCACTGAGACAGTGTCAGATTAATACAGCTGCTAGCACTCTTAGAAATTTTTGCTTTTAAATTTTTCTTTTTAGAAAAAAATGCTCTTTATGACAGCCTAAAAATTTTCCATAACTACATATTAAGAATTTTAAAAATATGTAGTAGAGGTTGTGACTTTTGGGTTTCAAGAAAAGTCTCAAAGTACAGTGGTTTAAAACAGTTGTTTTCAGAAGAGGTTATTATGAATTAACTGTCTTTAACTGGAACCACACAAAGACTAATGGTGTATTTTAAATAATAAATAGTTATAAAACAGCCAATAGTATTTACAATATGTAGTAATTTGCAATTTTTTTCCCTGTAAACATCTTTTTGTCAGAAGCTCTCAGTAAAGAAAAACAAGGAAGATTTTTAGTGCAAAACAACAACTTAAAACTCAAATATGAAACCACAAATTATACATCTTATGTTACAACTTTAAATTTTATGTCATAACCTTAAACTTTATAGCTATGTAATATGATTTATATAAATAAAATATCACTTCCCCAATATAAAAAGAACTCTTCAAATTCATGTAAATATAGCAACTTTTGTACTATTTAGTTCACCAAGATAGGATACTAAATAAATAAATAATTATTATTTATTTTCAATATATTACAATTAGAAAAGTTCAAAAAACATGGTAGTTAATGTTAAATTTGAATTCTTACTTCTTAAAGGATAATAAGATCTTTCAGATTAAACAGAATGTGTGATAAGAATTGTTTTGCACGAATTCTAATTACTTAGAAAATTATGCTATAAATTATCTGCTTTTCTGCCTTGAATTTCCTTCTTCATATAATTAGGCATTTTCAAGAATCAAAACTATTATTGTCTCTTCTGAACAAAAGCCATAGAAACTGCTAATTATATTGCAGTTAAACATGTTATTCTTCTTTGTAGAGATCCTGAATTTCTGGTGTTTTTGAGAACATTTTTTGACCATCGAATAATAGAAGTGCTGAAGCTCCTCTTGTGTAGCAATCAGTATAATTAGGTTCTATCTATAATCGCATTCATGTTATTAAAAAGTTGCCATGGTCTGTGTCAAATAAAAATTGACCTAAATCTTTCCTGGTCCCTAACTCATTATTTTATTTTAAGAATCAGGCCACATTCTTATAGATATCTCCCTTTCACTAGACCCCTAGGGACTAATCAGGGGCAACTCGGAGGACAAGCCGCACTGCCAATGCATCCTCTAATGAGCACTTGAACTCCTAGCATGCCCTAGGAAACAGGTGGCCATCAAAACAAACCTCCATTTTGCATAAAATTAACTTTTTATTTCACTGTGTAAATGTTTTGTGAGACTATGTATTCAACAATTTTTGACAAAGTAAGTTTTATGATTATTTGACAATTTTTTTTATTTTGAATAAAACAGTTACTGGAATTCACAAATACCAATGTTTTTATCTGTAGATTCTGACCTATTTTTCAGAGGAAAGAAAGCATAAATTTAATATCTGCTTATATTTTAGGACACTTTATTTTTTATTTTTTATTTTTTGAGATGGAGTTTCACTCTTGTTGCCCAGGCTGGAGTGCAATGGCGCAATCTCGGCTCACCACAACCTCCGCCTCCTAGGTTCAAGCAATTCTCCTGCCTCAGCCTCCCGAGTAGCTGAGATTACAGGCATGCACCACCACACCCAGCTGATTTTTTTGTATTTTTAGTAGAGACGGGGTTTCTCCATGTTGGTCAGGCTAGTCTCGAACTCCCAACCTCAGGTGATCCACCCACCTCAGCCTCCCAAAGTGCTGGGATTACAGGCGTGAGCCACCGCACCCAGCCAGGACACTTTAATACAAAAAACAATAAGTTATTATTACGTATTTGCTTTTGTTTTTCCATTGCTTAGTGGTTTTGTTTGTTTGGTTTTTGACCATGTTTATTGTCAATCAGTTTATCTTTGACTCATGTATAGAATTTTTTGGCCAGAAAATTATATGAAACCTTTAAGAAGCATTTTAGAGCATAGACAAAGATGAAAAAGATTTTCAAGTCATCCAACTTACATGAGGTTGTAATATCACCAATAAAAATACTGGACAGGGCCAGGTACGGTGGCTCACACCTGTAATCCCAGCAATTTGGGAGGCTGAGGCAGGTGGATCACAAGGTCAGGAGATCGAGACTATCCTGGCCAATATGGTGAAACCCTGTCTCTACTAGAATACAAAAAACTAGCGAGGCGTGGTGGCACACACCTGTAGTCCCAGCTACTCAGGAGGCTCAGGCATGGGAATCGCTTGCATCTGTGAGGCGGAGGTTGTAGTGAGCTGAGATGGCACCACTGCACTCCAGCCTGGCGACAGAGCAAGACTCCGTCTCAAAAAAAAAAAAAAAAAAAAAAAACTTGACCAAAAGTAACACTAGAAGCAAATATATTTATGAATATCCAAATATTCCAAATAAAATTATACAATCTATCCTATTAAAGAATTTTCTTAGCTCAGTTCATTAACTTAATATTTAAAATGAAATATGTGCTTTTCCAAGTACAGTGTTAAAAATTAGATAAAATCATTGTTTTTCTGATCAATTTAAATATGTTAGCTAGGAGAAGAAGAAAATGTTCTTAACATAGTGAAGAAAGGGTTGAATCCCAATTAAAGTTCTTAATGGATAAAAATACGTTATTAATTCAAGGAATCTGTTATTATAATTGTTCTTTCAAAAACATATATGTGTATATGAGATGCATCTTAAACTTATCTAGACTCCTTATTTTAAACATAACCAATGAGTGAGATATGACTGTGGATTGCAGAAAGAGTTGAAAGGAAGAATTGGTATATTTTCTTTCTTCTCAGAGATTTAAATCATGCCTGTACTATATCTTTTTGGTGTGTTCAATTTTTTTTAGCTCCTGCTGAAGCACTGAAACTTTTAAAAAAATAAATCACACACACTTAAATGTACTTGTTTCATCTCATTTCATAAAGCAGAGTAAGCATACTGTCTAAAAATTTGATGAACTTCCTGGCAAAGGGAAGAAAAACGTGCTCTAATTTAAAAATGAGGTAGGTTAGGAAATACCATGTTTCTTGAATCACTACCAATTTTCCCTTTAAAGAGAAGGTTTTAGTGTGAAGTCATTGATTAAGTAAAATCATATAAATTACTTGCTATCACAGAGCAAAGGCTTTCTAAATAGAAAGTTCTATATTATTTAGCTGTAGGATATGAAGGTTTGCTGCCTTGGTTTACTTCATCCAAGTTCAAAAGTTATTTTTAATTGCATTGTAGAAAAATGTTTTAATTACTTCTTGAACATGAGCCACACTGAGAGGATAATTTTGTTTTTAAAGAGAAGTGTGTTTTTATTTATATTCCACTTAATTTTCTTTTATATTGACATGTCTTACGTTGACAATGTAAAAAGACGATCATCTTTTCCTTCAAATCTTTTCAATTTTATAGAAACTCATTAAAAACATCTGTTTTGTCTTCGTGTCTTTAAATGTAATCAAAGTCAATATCCAAATTACTACTTTCTAAAATGTGTGTGTGTGTGTGTGTGTGTGTGTGTATATGGAAGGGATGTGTGTGCAAATGTGTAACCTTATGAGATAATAAAAAAATTGTTCCTAGAGATTATTTTCTGAATGAAATTATATCAGATATTCTCAAATGACAAGAGCATATAATCTAATCACACACTAGGTTTATACCTAATGTAATTCAAAAGCATAATAATGTAAATTATGAAAGGACAGTTGATGATGGATGAATACATTTACAATATGAATTTATTTATTGAAGACCTAATGCAAAGAAGCATCTGTAAATATGGCAGCTTCCTGCAGTTAAGAAGGAATAAATAACCAAATATTATAGAAATGCCTATAAACATTATAGTTAAAGTAGCTAGATTAATCAAAACACATTGAAATCCTTCGAATCCATATTTAACATTATAAAATACAAATCTCTAAATCATTATTTGTAGTGAACTTGTAAATAACAAGATATTATATGCAACTTTCACAATCTGCAATGGACAAAAAGCACTGTAAAAATCCTTTTTTAAAGGCACATAATTATGTCATTCCACATTGAAATATTGAAGAATTGTCTCTTAAACAGTCATTAGAAAACACCACATACTTACAAGATAAAAGAGTTTAAGCATAGGTCACGATTTAGTAGATAATAATTATCAAATCATGATGTAAAATAACAAAAAAAGTTATATAAATTTTGATATATCCATTTAGTCTAAATTAGGTTAATATGCCCAGCACTTTCCTTGAAACATGTTTTGTGCTCAGCACTATATTCCTGCAATTCAGTTTGAGGCATTCATTCACCATGGTAGAAAAGTTATTCTGAGATATCAGGATGGGAATCAGTCAATCAATAATATAGAAATGCAAAGTTGAAATGTGACAGAATTAATTGTCTTAAAAAATAAACCTTATGGTCAGGCACTGTGGCTCACGCCTGTAATCCCAGCACTTTGGGAGGCCGAGGCGGGCAGATCACGAGGTCAGGAGATTGAGACCATCCTGGCTGACATGGTGAAACCCCGTCTCTACTAAAAATACAAAAAAAAATAAAAATAAAAATTAGCAGGGGGTGGTGGCACACGCCTGTAGTCCCAGCTACTCGGGAGGCTGAGGCAGGAGAATCACGTGAACCCAGGTGGCAGAGGTTTCAGTCAGCCGAGATCGTGCCACTGCACTCCAGCCTGGTCAACAGAGTGAGACTCCATCTCAAAATAAATAAATAAATTAAACAAACAAACTTTATTATACATTTAATTTTCAAAAGTAATTCTATAGCATATAGCCAGTTACATTATAAAAAGTTTTCTATTGAATTATAAAATGTTAAAGACCATAATATTTAAGTAAAAAGAACATACTTTGTTGATTTTGTTCCAGTTTATGGATAAGTGTGAATCATTAGGATAATGACAGTACTAGTAAAAGAAACTAAATGATATCATTTATCACCCATTATAATTATTGTATTTACATATTGTATTTTCTTAGTTTTGCCTTAGTCCTCATATTCACCTAAGTTCACCTTTCCTGAATGTTAAAAACAAATGCTACTTTTTTATTTTTGGGAAGCATAAAAGTATTTTTCTAATATTTTGATATGAAAAATTTCAAATACAGGAAAGTTAAAATAATTTTACAGCTATAAACCTTTGTCTTCCACCTAGATTCTATAAATTTACAATTTACTGCAATGTATCGTGTGTCTCTCCAATCACTCCTCTCTCCATTCATCAATCATCTTTCTTTTTATTAAGACAAAGTAGCTTCGGACATCGGTACACCCTTCTTACATGATTAATAATGATATGTCTTCCACTTCAATTTTCAGAAAGAATACTTGTATTTTGATGACGTCAATAACACACTTTTAGAAAATGATTTTTGGTGGTAAACACATTTCTTAATAATGAAGCAGAAGTAATCAACCATGGGATAACAATAAAGATAGATATTTCACAATAGTATGTTGTTCTAAGTCCAGGTGTATCAGCTCTATTATCTTTATAATGTCTCCAAATTCTCACTTTATGAGTGAGAACTCAAGACAGAGATGTTAACTTGCTCATGGTCACACAGTAACTGAATGGTGGAGCTAAACTGGATACTGTGACAGCTTCTTAACACTGCCACCTCATCTCCATGAAGGCAGTTTGTAAACCATAAGCCAATTATGTAAGTATATATAATAGTGTCTGTTTGAGTTCAAGTAACCAAGTATCCTAAAGGGTAATATATTGTTAGGAACTAGAGAGGATTCAAAGATGAATGGCAAACTCTAACTAAAAACAAACAAACAAACAAAAAACTTAGTGAAATAGAAATAGAAACCCAGATTTGTATTGCTCTAAAGAATAAACTAGTGCTGGTTGGCTGGTAACTCATTGAAAATCCAACAAAATACTGTATTATAAAAATGCAGAAGATAAATTTCCACCTGACAAATTTAGAGAAAGAACTCGTGAAATATATTTGAAAATGGTCTTGAAAAATTGTCATGATTCTTGGTAAAGGAATTTTCATAAATAAAGTAATTTAAGAATAAAAGTTGTGGGAATCCCAAGTGGTAAGATAGGAGGATACAAGGAAATTCAACTGGGAACAAGCCTAGAATTAGGTATATCCAGGGACTAGGTAGCAGAGACATTGCATGTCTTTTAAAGGCATCTGAATTTGCTTAGTCAATGAAAAACCATTAAAAAATTGTGTATATTTAGAGATATACCTTGTAAATATTGTAAAATATTGATTTGGAAGAAAATTATTTAAAGCAATGGTCCATTTTTTTGTAGGTACACACACATAATTTTGCTTGCAGTTTTTTTTTTAACTTTTATTTTAGGTTTGGGGGTACACGTGAAGGTTTGCTTTATAGGTAAACTCGTGTCACAGGGGTTTGTTGTACAGGTTATTTCATCACTCAGGTATTGAGCCTAGTACCCAATAGTTATTTTTTTCTGCTTCTCTCCCTTTTCCCACCCTCCACCCTCAAGTAGAGTCCAGTGTCTGTTCCCTTCTTTGTGTTCATAAGTGGTTATCATTTAGCTGCCTCTTATAAGTGAGAACATGCAGTAGTTGGTTTTCTGTTCCTGTGTTAGTTTGCTAAGGATAAGAGCCTCCGGCCCCATCCATGTTCCTACAGGACATGATCTCATTCCTTTTTATGGCTGCATAGTATTCCATGGTGTACATGCACTAATTACATTTTTTAAATTCAGTCTGTCATTGATGGGCATTTAGGTTGATTCCATGTCTTTGCTATTGTGAACAGTGCTACAAAAAACATTCATGTGCATGTGTCTTTATGGTACAATGATTTATATTCTTCTTGGTATATACCTAGTAATGGGTTCACTGGGTTGCATGGTAGTTCAAAGCAGGGGACTCTTTCTAGAGGTCACATCAATACTTTAGGAGAGAGATGAGAAGACTTTTAATAGAAAACAAATAAATAAGTGAAAAATATTCTAAAAATTATTAGTAGAGAATTGGTAGTAATTGCCAGTTAAATAGATATGGGAGATGAAACTGAAAAGATGAAGGTGGAAAAACATTTTCTCCTCAAAGTCAGGGTTGAATAAGAGATACGAGGTACTTAATTTGATTTAAGGTACAGAGTTGAGGGCACTCCACACCACAGTGATGTTCGTGATGACTTTATGTATTTATGCTTGTAAGTCCAATATCCCAAAGCCTTTCACTTCTTATTCCGTCATTTGCCTTTTTGAGGAAAACTACGAACCGTTGCTTTTGGTTATGACCATTTAGTTCAAATAGACTTATTTTGTAGTGCTAGAAGGTAGCAATCTTTCCCACTATTCTCTTGATTAATGATTAAAAAGTATATTAAAATAGTAAATCAAATAACCAAATAGTGTAGAAGTACATGCAACTTAGAGACATATTGCAAATTACATAGGTGCAAACACTCCATGTAGCTTGAGGCAGTAGAAGGAACTCGGCTCTTGTTATGCCCTGGCTCTGCCAGTTACTAGTTTGTACCTTGAACATTCGCTGGGTCTTAATCCCAGGATTTCTTTCTGGGGTATGTGTGGATTAGATAATGCAGATAGTACAGAAGGAAAGGGTGCAATAAACAGTATCTATTATTTTCACTTGCCTTCTGTGTTTATCTTTCATTCTAATCAGCCCTTCTCTCTCTCCTGATGTGACTCATCTTGAACTTTTCTTGGGTTAAACTATCCCAAAGGCTATTCACAGTTTCCCAGCCAGCTAGCATCAGAAGTTTTTCCAGGCCCGTTCCTTGGCAGCCAGAGGTTATTCTATTCCACAGCCAAAAATGATATATCTCCTCTGCTTAGGCTGTTAGCTAAGAATGTGAGATGACCTTATGTTGCATTCCCTGCATTCTTAATGTGCTGAAAGTTCC
Source organism: Homo sapiens (assembly GCF_000001405.40). NCBI lineage: Eukaryota > Metazoa > Chordata > Mammalia > Primates > Hominidae > Homo > Homo sapiens. The sequence goes on along the minus strand of NC_000007.14, from coordinate 84,025,443 downwards.
CATTCATGGTCTATTGATTCTTTGGGGCTTTTGTTTTCTGTATGTTGTGGCATAGCTGAAAAGGGAAGAAACCAGTCACTGTGGCTGCCATCCTGGTGTGCTGGCAGTCATCTGGTGATAATTATTCCCCATTACCAATTTCCCAGCTAGTTTCTTTGTAAATATTTTGAAGCCTGAGGCTGTGATATTGGAAATATTAATATAGTTTTATAATTTACATAATTTATAATTAGTCTTTGTTCATCTTAGTTGTCTTTAGCAGGTTTTTAGAATCCTTATCAGCTACCAACTTGCTTCCACTGGTAATCTAAGTTTATGTTACCATTACTTATTTTTATTTATTTATTTATTCATTTAAAGACAGAGTCTCGCTTTGTTACCCAGGCTGGAGTGCAGTGGCACCATCTCGGCTCACTGCAACCTCCGCCTCCTGAGTTCAAGAGATTCTCCTGCCTCAGCCTCCCAAGTAACTGGGTCCACAGGCGCCCACCACCATGCCCGGCTACTTTTTGTGTTTTAGTAGAGACGGGGTTTCACCATATTGGCCAGGCTGGTCTCGAACTCCTCACCTCAAGTGATTCACCTGCCTCGGCCTCCCAAAGTTCTGGGATTACAGGCATGAGCCACCGCACCTGATCTTATGTTACCATTAACTTTTAAACATACATTTGTATACAATATTTCACAAAGTTTTAAAAACAATGTTATAAAATAATAACAGCTAGCAATTTTGAAGACCAATAATATGCTTGGCATTGGCAGATAGATAGATGTATGTGTATTCCCTAATTAATTCTCCCAACACTCCTCAAAGATATGTACTTTCTGATAGTCAAGTAACTGAGGCTAGTTGATTTTTTTTCTTTTTTCTTTTATTGTGGGGGGGCATTGGGTGTGCAGGGACAGAGTCTCCTCTCTTGCTCAGGCTGGAGTGCAGTGGTGCGGTCTCAGCACACTGCAACCTCCGCCTCCTGGGTTCAAGCAATTCTCGTGCCTCAGCCTCCCGAATAGCTGGGATTATAGGTGTGTGCCACCATACTCGTCTAATTTTTTTTTTGTATTTTTAGTAGAGACGAGGTTTCATCATGTTGGCCAGGCTGGTCTCAACCTCCTGGCCTCAAGTGATTCACCCGCCTTGGCCTCCCCATGGTGCCGGGATTACAGGCGTGAGCCACCGCGCCCAGCCAAGTTGTTATTTTTGAAGTAACAAATCTAGTGACTGGGAGAAGCCTAATTTCTACCCATTTTCTCTGAATCCTATCACAGAACAGTTTTTATATAAGTACAGTGAAGGAAATACTTGCTTCTTTTTATGTTGCTTTCTGAAAGAGTTTTCCTTCATAGTTATAATGTCACTGGGACCTCCTTTAAAGTGTGAAGAAAAGAATGTGTATGTATATTTCTGTGAACTAATTTTTTTTTTTTTTTTTTTGAGACGGAGTCTCGCTCCGTTGCCCAGGCTAGAGTGCAGTGGCGCGATCTCCGTTCACTGCAAGCTCCGCCTCCCGGGTTCACGCTATTCTCCTGCCTCAGCCTCCCGAGTAGCTGGGACTACAGGTACCCGCCACCACACCCGGCTAACTTTTTTGTATTTTTTAGTAGAGACGGGGTTTCACCGTGTTAGCCAGGATGGTCTCGATCTCCTGACCTCGTGATCCACCCGCCTCGGCCTCCCAAAGTGCTGGGATTACAGGCGTGAGCCATAGCGCCCGGCACTATCTACATTTTAAAGCCTTGTTTTTTCCTTTCATAGGTGGTGTTCCTGTTGATTCAGAGAGAGAGGGGATTTCTGCCATTTTTCTGCAGTGGGGTTATATGTTCCGCCTTCCCTGCTCTGCAACCTCTGACATGTTTTACAAGAGGATTGGCTGAGTGGTTCGTGTTATGAAATTAACTAGGCCTCGCAGCACTTGTGCAAGAGAGTTTATAATTATTAATTCCACCCTTTTTACAAATGAAATTTATGTAATTTGTGTCCTAGAAAACCAATATGTATCCCAACTTTTAAATTTACAGATACCCCAAATGCCTTAATTAATCATTCTGTACATTTGATTCATTCTCAGAAAAAATATTTTTGTTCTTGTCCTTTGGGGGGCTTGTTGGTGGAAGGGATAGGTCCAGCCAAATGCTGGTCAAAATGTTGCTGTACTAGACATTCAGTCTGATTCTAATGCTGAGAGCAGCAAAATGCATTCATTATTTAAATAAGCTCAAGCTGCCAAATGAATCATAAGTGCAGCCGCGTGTCCTGTGCCAAGGTGTCATTTTCATTAAGTGTAAGATTGCACCTGAAGGACAGTTTAATTTGCAGCTGCTAAAAATATTTCAACAGAGTGGTACTGTTACAAGTGGCAGGTGGTGCCCAAACGTGAATTTTGCAAGAAATGCCATCTGTGGGATGAGGTATGGAAGAATGTCAAGGGGGTGGTAAAGGTATAAAGGGGAAAGAGAGAAGAGTGGTGTATTTACTCAGCGTTTATTGCTGTTATCATGACTAAAGATTCCATGCTTCACATGATAGCATTGGCCCAAGATTAGTAAATGTGATTGTTTGTTCAGCTTCCACTATGTGCTGAGGACATTGCAAAATGGCCGTGGTATCTGTAAATACAAAGTTTCTTCCCCAAAGGCATACCACTTAAGCTATGCAGATGCAAGAATCCTTCTCAATTCTATTTACCTTTCATAGTGTTTACATTGCAGTTTTATGGCAGTGAGATTAGTGCACTTTGATCTTGCTAAAATGGATATTGCCACTTCCTTTTGATGTTCAGCTTTTAATATACATTCACAATGACTTTCTGCTTCACAAAGCAAGAAATCTTTTCAAATTTCAAAAATATTTTCTTACACTATTGTTAGATGGCATTTTGTGAACAGAGTAGATAACATTTTCACGTGGAAAGATATCCAGGGTCGCTGTATACATTATTAAAGATCTGTATTTGTGTCATTAAGTTTCAGTGGCCACAGTGAAATCAATAATTTCTATCTGCAGGCTGAAAATAGGTATTCTCTACTTTAATGGGCCACAGGACACAGGTTTAAAAAGAAAACCTAATTATTAGATTTGAGTTTTTCATTTCTGCTTGCCATTTAATGGGAGTGACTGGACATAGAATAGCTTCCTTTGTGAATATCATGAACTTTCTTAGGTTACCGAGGGGAATTAATAAAGTAGGTCAATCTGAATAGATATTGGTAAACCTTTTCCGTAGGGAGTTTTTGATGACAAGGCAAGTTATTGAATTTCTTGTAGTTTCACAGGACAATGGGAATCTCTGATCTCCAAATATGCATTGTTCTTAGCTACATAAAATTGAGAGACATGTTTTCTATTATTTTAATCCTATTGACAAAATCTAATTCTGAAGAATTGCAAATAGAAAATTTTAATGCATTAATTATCTAATGCAAAGAAAAGAACAGCTTCTTCTACGTAAAAAGAACATTCATAAAATTTCAAAAAAGCATTTTGAAAACCTGCCATTGTATAATATCTTGCAGAAA